>NC_000001.11:212730041-212881556 GCF_000001405.40 Homo sapiens | reverse complement strand
GACCAGTCTGGCCAACATGGTGAAACCCCGTCTCTACTAAAAATACAAAAATTAGCCAGGCGCAGTGGTGTGCGCCTGTAGTCCCAGCTACTGGGGAGGTTGAGGCAGGAGAATTGCTTGAATCCGGGAGGTGGAGGTTGCAGTGAGCCGAGATTGTGCCACTGCACTCCAGCCTGGGTGACAGAGCGAGACTCTGTCTCAAAAAAAAAGAAATTCGACAGAGTGAGACTCTGTCTCAAAAAAAAAAAAAAAAAAGACAAAGAAATTCTTTGGGAATACTAAAGATGGTCTCCTATATTTGTTCCTAAAACTTTAAAGTTCTTATTTTTACTCTTTGGTCTCTACTATAATTCATTTTTATGCATGGTATGATGTAGAGTTCTAATTTTAGTTTATTTTTCCCATATGGACAATCAATTATCCTGGGACAATTTACCAAACAGTTCCTCTTCTGCAAAACCTCAAGTTTTCCTATATGTATAATGTACTAGTTATTAGAGCAGTTTGCAAATATTCTAGTTTTTATTTTTCTAGGCATGGCAACATGACTTTAAATATAAGCAAAGGTGACATTCCCTGTTTTCTGCCTTAGTAATCATGGAAGCATTTACAGAGATGTCAGGCTGTATCCTTGAGTAACTTTGATGAGCAGAAACTAGCTGTCAATTCACACTGGACATGCAGTTTTAGCAAGAAATAAACTTTTCATGTTTCAGGCCACTGAAGTTTTTTAGCAGGACTTCTTTTTTTTTTTTTTTTTTAATAAAGAGTCTCACTCTGTTGCTCAGGATGGAGTGAAATAGCAGTTTCGGCTCACTGCAACCTCCATCTGCCAGGCTCAAGTGATTCTCCTGCCTCAGCCTCCTGAGTAGCTGGGATTACAGGTGCCCACCAACACACCTGGCTAATTTTTGTATTTTTATTAGAGACCGGGTTTCACCATGTTGGCCACACTGGTCTTGAATTCCTGACCTCAGGTGATCTGCCTGCCTTGTCCTACCAAAGTGCTGGAATTACAGGCATGTGCCACTGCACCTGGCCAGCAGGATTAATATAAGCTAGCCTAGGTCAAGTGACACCCAAGGTAGGTCTCTGGGCTCTCTATTCTGTTCCAGTGATCTGATGTCTATCCCTTACTCATGGCATCTTAATTACCATAGATTTATAAATTTTGATAACTAAGAATGAGTCCCTCACCATGTTCTTCATCAAAATTATCTTTGCTGTTCTTGGCCCTTACTTCACTCACAGGAATTTTTACAGTTGGTTTGTTCCATTACAATCCCTGTTTAAACTGGCGATTAAAGGATGAGACCTATAGCTCGTCTAAAAACTTGTTAACAACACTTATCAAAAACACCTGGGTAACTGGCCTTTGTTATTCAACTTCCCACTGAGCTCAAGAATGCACGTGGACCACGCTGGGTTAGCCTGCGGAAGATGAGGATAACAAATGAGGCCTGTGCTCAGGCCTGAGTGTACTCTACTGCACTGCACCCTATGGTGATTTTGAATCTAATACATACTGAAATAAGGATAGCAAAAATTTGGATGAAGAATTATAACAGCCAAAAAAAAAAAATACTATGTTATCTGAACCTAGAGTATGGTATCTAAGTTTCAGAGAGCAAACAGCAACAGTTGGGATAGTAAGGAATCATCTTTTCTCCAAATAGTGCAACCTCAAAAAAAAAAAATTTGGCCGGGTGTGGTGGCTCATGCCTGTAATCCCAGCACTTTGGGAGGCCAAGGTGGATGGATCACATGAGGTCAGGAGTTTGAGACCAGCCTGGGCAACATGGCAAAACCCCATTTCTACTAAAAATACAAAAAATTAGCTGGGCATAGTAGTGCGTCCCTGTAGTCTCAACTACTCCGGAGCCAGAGGCATAAGAATTGCTTGAACCCAGGAGGTGAAGGCTGCAGTGAGCAGAGATCACACCACTACACTCCAGCTTGGTCAACAGAGTCTATAAAGACATCTATTTATATTATAGACTTTATTACCGATAATTTTTTTCCAAAAAAAATTTTATCTTAGTCCATTTGGGTCCTGAGTTTGGGACACTGCATATATGATCCCGAAGCTCTATTCTAGAAGTATTATTCCTTATCCAGAGTATCCCACAAGCAAGACTGCTCCAAGCTTATATATATCATATTAGGCACGGAGGGGGACAGGGACATGTCTAAAAGGTATGCTGTGACCCTCACGCAAACATTATGATCCCTAACTCTGGACCCCTTTGGTGAAGAACATGAAGTCGAGAAACTACTCGAACTTTATCAGAAAATACTGTTGAACTCTCCACAGTGTTTCCCAACTCCTTCCTCCTTATAATTCCTTCAACAAATAAACTCTTTAATTTCCTAAGCAGTTTCTGTATCTGGTTTTTAAAAAATCAATCCAAATCTACAACTGGCATTTGATAACACAGTGGTCCTGTAAGGATTAACTGGCATCCTTATAATCTTAAATCTTTTATAACATGGTATATCCCTCCATTTAAATTATTTAGGGGAGAGGTGGCTGGAGAAAAAATAAATTATTTAGGTCTTTTTTTTTTTGAGACAGGATCTCACTTTGTCACCCAGACTGCAGTACAGTGGCACAAACACAGCTCACTGCAGCCTTGACCTCCTGGGCTCAAGCAATCCTCCTATCTCAGCCCCACAACTAGCTGGGACTACAGGCACAGAACACCGTGTCTGGCTAATTTTTGTATTTTTTGTAGAGATGAGGTTTTGCCACATTGCCTAGGATGCAGGTCTCCCTTTATCCCTTTCAATGTTTTCTAATTTTCTCTATGAAGTTCTTTTGGTGTATTTATTCTAAGATATCTTTATAGTTTTAGTTGCTATTATAAAAGATATCTTTTCATAGGAATACAATACCTATATATACATAGGAATGCAATTGATATTTTCACATTGTCAGCTATTTAGTAACTTTGCTAACTCATTCTTATTAGTTTTAATAGTTGTCTCTAGGTTCTCTTGTATTTTTTTTTTTTTTTTTTTTTGAGACGGAGACTCACTCTGTCGCCCAGGCTGGAGTTGCAGTGGTGCGATCTCAGCTCACTGCAAGCGGACTTACTGCAAGTGCCTCTCACTGAGAGGCGGACCTCTCAGGTTCACGCCATTCTCCTGCCTCAGCCTCCCGAGTAGCTGGGACTACAGGCACCCACCACCATGCCCGGCTCATTTTTTGTATTTTTAGAAGAGACAGGGTTTCACCATGTTAGCCAGGATGGTCTCGATCTCCTGACCTCGTGATCCGCCCGCCTCGGCCTCCCAAAGTTCTTGGATTACAGGCCTGAGCCACCGCGCCTGGTCTCTCTTGTATTATTTTAATAGATGGGTGATCACTAAACATTTTCTGTAAAGGACCAGGTAGTAAACCTTTGTTAGCTTTGTAGGACATACGGTCTCTAATGTAACTAATGTCACTACTCAACTCTGCCCTGGTAGTTCAAAAGCAGCTATAGACAATATGTAGTCAAACAAAACTTTAATATAAAAACAGGCAATGTCCAGATTTGGCTCATGGGTCATGGTTTGCTGACCTCTGATATGCAGAATCATACTATGAGCAATAACACCTTTTTTTCTGTTTCGTATACCTTTTCTTCTTTCTTGTGTTACTGAGCCAGCCAGGACCTCCAGTTAGATGTTGAACAGAAGTGATGACAATAAATATCCTTAAGGATACTTCTTATTGATTCTTAAGGATAATGGCTCTAACTTTTGCCTTTAGTATAATATTTGCTATAGGGTCTTTGTAGATAAGCTTTATCAGGTTCAGAAAGTTCATTCATTGGCACCTAATTAAACTAAAGAGCTTCTGCACAGCAAAAAAAAAAAAAAAAACTATCATCAGAGTGAACAGACAACTTACAGAATGGGAGAAAATGTTTGCAATTTATCCACCTGACAAAGATCTAATTATCCAGAGTCTACAAGGAATTTAAATTTACAAGAAAAAAAAACCTCATTAAAAAGTGGGCAAAGAACATGAACAAACACTTCTCAAAAGACATTCATGGCCAGGCGCGGTGGCTCACGCCTGTAATCCCAGCACTTTGGGAGGCTGAGGCAGGCAGATCATGAGGTCAGGACATCGAGACCATCCTGGCTAACACGGTGAAACCCCGTCTCTACTAAAAATTACAAAAAATTAGCTGGGCGTGGTGGCGGGTGCCTGTAGTCCCAGCTACTCGGGAGGGAGTACTGATCATCTAATTGGGGAGATAATATAAACATCTATTGTTTATATTAAAATATAATATAAACAACAGGAGGCTGAGGCAGGAGAATGGTGTGAACCCGGGAGGCAGAGCTTGCAGTGAGCCAAGATCATGCCACTGCACTCCAGCCTGGGCGACAGAGCGAGACTCTCTCTCAAAAAAAAAAAAAAAAAAAAAAGACATTTATGTGGCCAAGAAACATGAAAAAAAAGCTCAACATCACTGATAATTAGAGAAATGCAAATCAAAACCACAATGAGATACCATTTCATGCCAGTCAGAATGACGATTATTAAAATGTCAAGAAACAACAGATGCTGGCAAGGTTGTGGAGAAAAAGGAACACTTTTACACTGCTGGAGGGAGTACAAATTAATTCAACCATTGTAGAAGACAGTGTGACAATTTCCAAGACATAGAAGGAGAAATACCATTTGACCCACCAATCCCATTACTGGGTACACACCCAAAGGAATATAAATCATTCTATTATAAAGATACATGCAAGTGTATGTTCACTGCAGCACTCTTCACAATAGCAAAGACACGGAATCAACCCAAATGCCCATCAATAATAGACTGGATAAAGAAAATGTGGTATGTTTACACCATGGAATACTATGCAGCCAAAAAGAAATGAGATCAGGCCGGGCGCAGTGGCTCACACCTGTAATCTTGGCACTTTGGGAGGCTGAGGCAGTGAATCACCTGAGGTCAGGAGTTCGAGACCAGCCTAGCCAACATGGTGAAACCCTGTCTCTACTAAAAATACAAAAATTAGCTGGACGTGTTGGCACTTGCCTGTAATCCCAGCTACTCGGGAGGCTGAGGCAGGAGAATCACCTGAACCTGGGAGGCGGAGGTTGCAGTGAGCCGAGATTGTGTGCACTCCAGCCTGGGCAATAGGAGTGAAACTCCATCTCAAAAAAAAAAAAAAGAAATGAGATCATGTCCTTTGCAGGGACATGGATGGAGCTGGAAGCAGTTATTCTCAGCAAACTAAGGCAAGAACAGAAAACCAACCACAACATGTTCTCACTTATAAGTGGGAGCGGAATGATGAGAACACATGGACACATGGTGCACGAGGGGTGGAAATAACACACATTGGGACCTTTGGGGTTTGGGGGAGGAAGAGCATCAGAAATAATAGCTAATGGATGCTAGGCTTAATACCTAGGTGATGCCTGAGGTCAGGAATTCGAGACCAACCTGGCTAATATGGCAAAACCCCATCTCTACTAAAAACACAAATATCAGCCAAGTGTGGTAGCACACACCTGTAGTCTCAGCTACTCGGGAAGCTGAGGCAGGAGAATTGCTTGAACCTGCGAGGTGGAGGTTGCAGTGAGCCAAGATCACGCCACTGCACTCCAGCCTGGGTGACAGACTGAGAGACCAATAAAACCGAGATTGCAATTAACTTAATCATTTTTATGTATAGTCAAGTTTTTTGTTTTTTTTTTTCTCAGATGGAGTCTTGCTCCGTCACCCAGGCTGGAGTGCAGTGGCACGATCTCAGCTTACTGCAACCTTTGCCTCCTGGGTTCAAGCGATTCTCCTGCCTCAGCCTCCCGAGTAGCTAGGACTATAGGTGCGCACCCACCATGCCCAGCTAATTTTTGTATTTTTAGTAAACATGGGGTTTTGCCACATTGGCCAGGCTGGTCTTGAACTGGCCTCAAGTGATCCACCCACCTTGGCCTCCCAAAGTGTTGGGATTACAGGAGTGAGCCACTGTGCCCAGCCCCAGTAAGTATTAAGTGATGTGGTATCAAAGACACCAAAACTCCACAGATACCTGAGTATTCACTGAAGGCACCATCTAACACCCTCGCTGGTGCCATTTTCTTCCTCCCCTTTGTCTATTCAAATCCAACCCTCTCTTCAAGGCCCAGCTCAACCACTCCCTTCTGTGAGACTCTCCCGGCCATCCCTAGGGCTTCCCTTCATTTATCCTTTCTCAATGATAGGCCTCAATGAAGGGCTTCAGCATGCACTTGCCATACAACTCATCTTGTGTTGTTATCCTTTTGATAAATACCGACTATATTGTTACTTTTCAGATGTTTATATTATCTCCCCAATTAGATGATCAATTTCCTATGGGCAGAAATCATATATCATGCCTCTTTCTAGCCACAAGGCATCTAGAGCACTACTATACATTTAGTTGGTATTTGATAGCTATTGATGGAATAAATAAATAAAAGAATGAACACGAAAATGAACAATAAGTGAGGCAAACATTAAGCCAGCTCTTATAGGATTGCTTACAGAAAAAAGAAGCACATTTCCGGTAAAAGAAATATTGGCACAAAATTACAGAGACTAGAATTAACAGTGTATATGCATGTGGAGATGTGTCTGTGTGTGTGTGTGTGTGTGTGTGTACGTCTGTGACAGGGTTGGTTATAAGTGTGGCTGAAAGAGAATTTTGTATTGGGAAAGTGAGTGATAAAAGAGTGATAAGAAAAAAGCCAGGCCGGATGCAGTGGCTCACGCCTGTAATCCCAACATTTTGGGAGGCCAAGGTAGGCAGATCACAAGGTCAGGAGTTTGAGACCAGCCTGGTCAACATGGTGAAACCCCGCCTCTACTAAAAAAACAAAAATTAGCTGGGCGTGGTGGCATGTGCCTGTAATCTCAGCTACTAGGGAGGCTGAAGCAGGAGAATTGCTTGAACCTGAGAGGTGGAGGTTGCAGTGAGCCGAGATCATACCACTGTCCTCCAACCTGGGTGACAGAGAGAAACTCCATCTCAAAAAAAAAAAAAAAAAAAAGAAAAAAAGAAAATTAAATGACAGGCAAAAGAAATGAATTTGCTCTACTATTTAACAATAAGCCACTATATTTTCTCTATATCTAATTAGGAATTTTAGGTTTAACCTAAACAAGGAGATAACCAGCAAAATTAAGAAAATGAACTATGTCATGCAAAAGTATTAATATATAAGGATGAGATATGGCACCTGGGATTTGCTTTAAAATATTCCAGGAAAGGCCGGGCATTTTGGCTCACGCCTGTAATCCCGCACTTTCGGAGGCCAAGGCGGGCAGATCACCTGTGGTCAGGAGTTTGAGACCAGCCTGGCCAACATGGTGAAACCCCTTCTCTACTAAAAATATGAAAAATTAGCCAGGCATGGTTGCAGGGGCCTGTAATCCCAGCTACTTGGGAGGCTGAGGCAGGAGAATTGCTTGAACCCGGGAGGCAGAGGTTGCAATGAGCTGAGATTGTGCCACTGCACTCCAGTCTGGGCAACAAGAGCAAAACTCCGTCTTAAAAAAATACATTCCAGGAAAAAAACTGGAGGAAATAGATGAAGCAAGAATGGCAAAATATTGATAACTGTTGAAGCTGGATGATGCCATACACAGGATATGGGTATATAGGAATTAGATTAAATGTTCAACTTTGGTGATTAGCAATTTCTACTGAAAAAAAAAGGAACTAATCCTGATAAAAATAGTTTAGGTCCGGACTTAATTGGTTACAACTTGTAAAACATTTATGTACTAGAGTGTGTTTCCCCAAAAAATGTGAAACAGAGAATAGCAGTGAGTGATTTCTGGAGGCAAGTAAGACAGAAATAGGGAGTGCTGGTGTTCATGTAAATGGTGTTAACACAAGAAACAAAGAATGAACCGTCAGAAAACTCTGAAGAAAACCAAGTGTGTTGGTGTCTGCAGTCAAAGCTACAGTGTCAGGATGAATATCTGTCAGCTATCCTGAAAGATGTGGAGAGAGAGAATTTTCTTAGATGTCAGAACTGGTTAAGGTGAGTTCCTTAATGTCCACTTTTGACTGAGTAATCAAAACAGATGCCAGCTTGCACAGTGTCAAAGAAAAGTATTGTTGATAGCATTTCCCACCTGCTTACATCAGGATAACTATAGTTCACAAATGGCCTAAAATACTCCATGAGAACTCACAAAAGAAGACCGAGTTTCTGTATTTGAGAACTACTTTTCTTTTCTTTCTTTTATTTTTTTTTTGAGATAGTCTCACTCTATTGCCCAGGCTGGAGTGCAGTGGCGCAATCTTGGCTCACTGCCACCTCTGCCTTCTAGGTTCAAGCGATTCTCCTGCCTCAGCCACCTGAGTAGCCGGGATTACAGGCGTGTGCCACCATGCCCAGCTGATTTTTGTATTTTTAGTAGAGATGGGGTTTCACCATGTTCACCATGCTAGTCCTGACATGCAACTCCTGACATCAAGTGATCCACATACCTCGGCCAACTCAAGTGCTGGGATTACCAGCATGAGCCATCATGCCTGGCCAAAAACTACCTTTTAAAAATTATTATTTTTAAAAATATGTAAGAAGATCCATCCTGGATTTTCTGCTTTTAGTTTAAGTTCATGATTATGCTGTAGAGTTAACAGGCCAATCTCATTGAAGTTCAAACCACTAGGTTAAATGAAAAGAATCCACAATGCTGAAAGGCTCACACAGACATTAAAGAAAGTACAAGAAAACCACTTACCATAAGTGATCAACAGAAGGACAAAAGGAATGTTTTTAAACAGGTTTCTTATTGATTTCTTATAGGAGTACTCTTCAGGGGGACTGTCTTGAAGAGCTGCTTGAGCCTGACTTGGTGGATACCGAGGTTTTTCTTTGAAGGCTGAGAATATACACGAAAAGGATTATGTATATTTAATATATATACAATATGTTGTTATATATTACAATATGTAATTATATGTATCATTCTTAGTGAGCAGACAGAATACAGTTTAAGTTTAAAGAGGTATATAAGTCTTTTATGGTAAGGGTTTTCATTTTCACTGATTTCTAAGTGAAGAATAGTTTAACACTGTCATCTCAGTTCTCTGAAACTGACTAAAACTCAGAGATATGGCCAATTCATATAAGTGAACTGCAAAACCATCAATAATATGCCACAACCTTGCCTACTGATTATTCTATTTTTACCTAAGAAAGACTAATTTTTACTACATTAAATATTCAACAATTCTACTTTTAAATTCAGTTCAATTTGTAATTAGAGATAAACATGAAGGCTGGGCACAGTGGCTCATGCCTGTAATCCCAGCTCTTTGGGAGGTTGAAGGGGGAAGAACCCTTGAGCCTGGGAGGTCAAGGCTGCAGTGAGCTGTGACTGCGCCATTGCACTCCAGCCTGGGCAACAGAGCAGGACCCTGTCTCAAAACAAAAAAAAAGGAAAATAAAAGAAATAAAAAATCAGATATGAGGAAGCCAATATACTATTGAACTTTTAAAAGACTTGAGTTAGTAACCATTTTCTTCTGAAATGTGATATAAAGTTTATCATCTGATCCAACTGCACCTCTGGGATTGAAAAACTCCAGGTAGATTCATGGAAGCAGAGCTAGGTCTTGCTAACTCACTTGAGCTTCATATGGAAAGTACAGGGGTAGAGCTAAGAGACATAAAAGTGTGGTGGTATATGGTGTCTGACACTCTAAGTTTTAGCGCTATCCATTTCTAGTTAGAAATTTCACAGCCACCCCAGGCAGACAACATCTAGAGACCACCTTTTTGCTGTGCAGGAAAGATCGACCAACTTTCCATAAAAGATGACTAGAGAGAGATTTCTTTAGGGTTAGGCTAACCAGAAGTCAAGACTAATTCACAGGTCAGGCATGGTGCTCACTTTTGTAATCTCAGCACTTTGGGAGGTCAAAGTGGGTCCATCACTTGTACAAGACTGTCTCTAGAAAAAAATTGTTTAAACTAGCTATGCATGGCAGCATGCACCTGTAATCCTAGCTACTTGCGAGGCTGAAGCGAGAGGATCGCTTCAGGATCGCTTCACTGAGCCCAGGAATACAGGCTGCAGTGAGCTGGGATCATATCACTACACTCTAGCCTAGGTGATAAAGCAAGACCTTGTCTGTAAAAAACAAACAAAAAACACAAAAAACTATTTACAGAAGGGCTGAACTGCTAAAATATGGTACAGCAGAAATTAAAATCTAGACTTTGTATTGACTCAAAACTTTAAACTCTCTCAAAATTGTTAATTACAATAGAAGGAAAATACTGTACTTCATTGAATCTAAGATACTCTAATACTTGCAGTCAATGATCTTGCCAGGTATCAATAGAAGGTTTTCACATAACCATATCTCAATTACCACAAATGTTAGATGCCACTGATTATTAAAGGCATCTTGATTTCAGAGATTTCATGAAAAAGGTATACCTCAAGATTGATGAAACAGGGTAAATTCAAAAAGAAAAAAGAAGCCCGGCACAGTGGCTCACACCTGTAATCCCAGCACTTTGGGAGGCCGAGGCAGGTGGATCATGTGAGGTCAGGAGTTCGAGACCAGCCTGGCCAACATGGTGAAACCCCGTCTCTACAAAAAATTACAAAAATTAGCCAGGCATTAATGGTGGCACATGCCTGTAGTTACAGCTACTTAGGAGGCTGAGGCAGGAATTGCTCAAACCCAGGAGGTGGAGGTTGCAGTGAGCTGAGATTGTGCTACTGCACTCCAGCCGGGGCAACGGAGTGAGACTATCTCAAAAAACAAAACAAACAAAAAGAAACAGAAAGAAAAAAGAAGGTAAATGGATTCAGTAAATAATATTGTTTAGGAATTTTTTTTAGAAATTAGGATTTTTCTGCCATTCTCAGCCAGACAGCAAGAAAAAAAATTTTTTTTAATAGAAATTAGGATTTTTTTTTAATTGGCTATTTCTTTCTTCCAACAAGGAAGACCTGCTTTGTGTTTGAAAGAGGGTTAGATCTGATGGACCTAGCAACTGGAATCATTTGGAAATTAAAAATAATACAGATTTTGAGATTCTACCCAAGGCTCAATGAATCAGAAACTCCAGGATGAAGCCAAAGAAACTGTTTTAAACACGAAACTCCCCAAATGCTTTTGAAAACCAGCCAGGGAGAAACAATCACTGGGAAAGTAAGAAATGACCCTTAAAATTTCCATGAAATACTACAATTCTCTAATTTTCCTGTTTGCTGCTAAAAATTTTTTAAATTACAGTTCATTGCTGACCAACACATTAACTGTGATATAACTAAAACTTATCAAACTAAAATATACTTTTCTTTTTACAGATCTTACAACTAATTAAAGAGGAGATATAACTCATAAATATTTACTTTTTAATATCCTTACATTGGAAGGCTGGTACACATAAAAGGTTTAAGTTGCAAATCCTCCTCTTCCTTTCATTCTATCTGATCTTGTACTGTTAGGATGTCTGTTGTCTTTTCCTGAGTCTCTTTGTATCCTAATCAGATAGGAAATATCTCTTCTTACTAAGATTGGTAATGCAGAACTCACATAGTTATAAAACAAAGTTTCAGAAAATAAAAACTATGCTTACAAGGTAGTCATGGGTATTTAATGAATCTTAAGTCTCTTACTTTTTTATTTACCATGGCAAAATAAATCTAAATGGCCCAAATCTGAACTGAAATGCAAAAATGAAAATATTTCTGACTTCTGGCTGGGCGCAGAGGCTCACGCCTCTAATCCCAACACTTTGGGAGGCCTGAGGCGGGCAACTCACCTGAGGTCAAGAGTTGGAGACCAGCCTGGCCAACATGGCAAAAACTTGTCTCTACTAAAAACACAAAAATTAGCCAGGGGTGGTGGGCACCTTAATCCCAGCTAGGAGGCTGAGGCAGGAGAATCACTTGAACCCAGGAGGCGGAGGTTGCTGTGAGCCAAGGTCGCACCACCGCACTCCAGCCTGGGCGACAGAGTGAAACTGTGTCTCAAAAATGAAAAGAAAAGAAAATACTTCTTACCAGTCTTTAAATCCATTACATTTATTTTTTGAATACAAGAGTTATCTGTTAGTTTCAGGAAGTCAAACTATCTTTTGGCAAAAATCAAGCCTGTATTTACCAGCTACATGTTGTAGGAAAGTCGAACTTAAGTCTACTTGAAGAAAGAGAAACAAAAAGCCATGGATCTATGGCCTTGTTTACACCTAACTGCTACTTTCAAAGGATGAAATATGGCTTCTTCTTTCTCCTTTGAAACAGAAAAATAATAGCTTTCTATTGTCTTCTCCCAACCAAAAATTTGCACCAATAAAACAACTGATTATTTGAAGCAGTTATTCTCCACTTCTGGTGTTAGTCTTATAAAGTAGCCAAAATATTCTCGAGCACCACATTCAAACTTTTCCTCCTGTGATGAATACGTTGCAAATCTATTGCTGTTTAGGGCTACTTTTACATTTTAAAACCGTATTTTAACATTTTTAAAATTTCGTTATTTGTCCCTGTGTGATTCAGGCATATATTACATATATTAGGTTATTATAAGACAAATAAATGTTTGAATCCTGGCTCTGCCTCAGCTCACTGTATGACTTTGAGGAAGTAAACTCCTGTCTCTCACCTTTACAGCTTTCTCATCGATAAAATGTAAATAACAATAGCAAGCTGTTATGAAGATTACATGATACAATATATGTAAAATAATTCTGTAATTATCAAGTGCAACACAAAAATATTGTCTTTTTTTGAGGAATATTTATTTAAAAAAATCAGAGACTGCCTCAGGAGTTTGAAATTCTTACAGACTAAGTTAAATGTATTTCTGTTAAGAGTATGCAGCCGGGCCAGGCATGGTGGTTCACGCCTATAATCCCAGCACTTTGGGAGGCCGAGACAAGCGGATCACCTGAGGTCAGGAGTTTGAATCCAGCCTGACCAACATGGAGAAACCCTGCCTCTACTAAAAATACAAAATTAGCCGGGTGTGGTGGTGCACGCCTGTAATTCCAGCTACTCGGGAGGCTGAGCAGAATGGCTTGAATCCGGGAGGCAGAGGTTGCGGTGAGCGGAGATCGCGTCACTGCACTCCAGCCTGGGCAACAAGAGCTAAACTCTGTCTCAAAATAAAATAAAATAAAATAAAGTTTATAGATATCTTGAATTAAGAATCAAAAGCAGCTGGGCATGGTGGCTCATGCCTGTAATCCCAGCACTTTGGGAGCCCAAGGCAAGCTGGGAACAGCCTGGGCAACATGGTGAAACCCTGTCTACAAAAAATATAAAAAATAGCCAGGCATGATAGCACACACCTGTAGTCCCAGCTACTCAGAGGGCTGAGGTAGGAAGATTGCTTAAGGCTGGCCAGGAGATCAAGGGTGCAGTGAGCTGAGATTGTGCCACTGCACTCCAGCCTGGGTGACAGGGCGAGACCCCATCTCTTAAAAAAGAATTAAAAGTAAAATTATCACACCTGTAATCCCAGCACTTTGAGAGGCTGAGGTGGGCGAATCATGAGGTCAGGAGATCGAGACCATCCTGGCTAACACGGTGAAACCCCATCTCTACTAAAAATACAAAAAATTAGCCGGGCGCGGTGGTGGGTGCCTGTAGTCCCAGCTACTCAGGAGGCTGAGGCAGGAGAATGGTGTGAACCCGGGAGGCAGAGCTTGCAGTGAGCCAAGATCGCGCCACTGTACTCCTGCCTGGGTGAAAGAGCGAGACTCCATCTCAAAAAAAAAAAAAAAAAGTAAAATTATGCACACATTATATGCTTATGTGTTTAAGCATATTAATATTAAATATTTTTATTGTGATTACTTTTGGCTTCTGTCATCCACTCATTTTAGTGAATCAGGAAAGTATTTTAATTGACACATGAGTTAAATGACATAGTTTACTGCTCTGCTGCACAAGAACAGCTTTTAAATACAACAGCATTACCACTTATGCAAGAATCTGAATTCGAACAAAAAATAAGGCTCAGTAAAAATTAAAATGTTATTTTTTATCTGTAACTTTTATATAGGGAGTTAAATTGTCTAGGCTTAAATCTGACCTTCAGTGTTTACTATAACCTTGGACAAATTAGATTTAACTAAATTCTGTGCCTCAGTTTCCTTGTCTATAAAATGGGAATATTGGTACCCTCCTCACAGAGTCATGAGGATTAAATGAGATACAGCATGTAGTAAGCCTCCAAACATGTTTGGCACATACCAACAAACCAAATGTTTGAGGCTATAATAGAGTTCTCCTAATAGGAATAGGGTATTAGTGTGAAATTCAGTGGAATGCTTGGGTTAATTCCTGGAAACACTAGATGGATTATACTCAATATAAGCTCCATGAGGGAGAGGAACAGTTACATGGCATGAACCTTTGAGAAAATATTTTAAGCAGACTGCTGAGTATCAATTTAGTACATGTCACGTTGCGGAAAAATCTCAACAAAATTAAATTATTTTATGAGGACGTGGTGGGACTTCCAAAGTAAGTATGGATAGAATTCAGAGAGAAGTAAAATCACCTTTTAGTAATTAAGGAACTTTATTTGGTATGGATTTTTTTAAGTAATCCAAAGTTTGCTCAATAGCAAATATTTGGGAATGAGGAAAACAAGTATGTGTTCTATTTAAATGTCACAATTTTCAACTTAAGACTTTCATATCACAGCTGTATACTATCTTGCTTTTATAATATGCTTGGGATCATAAAATTAAAATTAGAGTCCTCCAAGCAAAAGTTGACAAAGAGCCTTTGTTTAATGCCATATTTCCCATTATTTTCCCCTCATTTCTATTTCCACTCTCTACCTGTAGGCCATGAGTACATAATTAGTTAAGTACATAATCAGATCTCTTTTAATTTCTCAAATAACAAAGGGTAATATGCCAATAGTCATACCTATTATTATCATTCTTGGTCTCCCTCCTTCAACAAGTAAAGATCTTTTATTTGTAGCAGTTTAAACATACACACATCACATGTATGATTTCGTGATATCTTACATGCAATCTCTTACTTTCTCACTTCTTTCTGAGACAAGCAATTGAAGAGGATTTAAAAAAAAAAAAAAAGGAAAATCAGAATTTATGTGAAGACACAAAAGTAATCAAAAGAAAGAGAATTTTGGCCGGGTGCAGTGGCTCACACCAGTAATCCCAGCCCTTTGGGAGGCCGAGGCAGGCAGATCATTTGAGGTCAGGAGTTCGAGACCAGACTGGCCAACATGGTGAAACCCCATCTCTACTAAAAACACACAAAAAAGGCCGGGCTCGGTGGCTCATGCCTGTAATTCCAGCACTTTGGGAGGCCAAGGCGGGCAGATCACCTGAGGTCAGAAGTTCGAGACCAGCCTGGCCAACATGGTGAAACCCCGTCTCTACTAAAAATACAAAAATTAGCCAGGCATGGTGGCACGCGCCTGTAATCTCAGCTACTTGGGAGGCTGAGGCACAAGAATCCCTTGAATGTGGGAGGCAGAGGTTGCAGTGAGTCGAAATTGCGCCACTGCACTCCAGCCTGGCTGACAGAGCAAGACTCTGTCTCAAAAAAAAAAAAAAAAAAAAACCAAACCCCAAAAATTAGCCAAATGCCTGTAATCCCAGGGAGGGAGGCTGAGGCACGAGAACTGCTTGAACCCAGGAGGCAGAGATTGCAGTGAGTCCAGATAGCGCCACTGCCCTCCAGCCTGGGTGACAGAGCGAGACTCCGTCTTGATAAAAAAAAAAAAAGAGAGAGAATTCTATACTTTAAAAATCCCTATTGCTGGCCGGGCCTGGTGGCTCATGCCTATAATCCCAGCACTTTGGGAGGTTGAGGCAGGTGGATCATTTGAGGTCAGGAGTTTGAGACCAACCTGACCAACATGGTGAAACCCTGTCTCTACTGAAAATACAAAAATTAGCTGGCATGGTGGTGCATGCCTGTAAGCCCAGCTGCTCGGGAGGCTGAGGCAGGAGAATCACTTGAACTTGGGAGGTAGAGGTTTCAGTGAGCTGAGATCATGCCACTGCACTCCAGCCTGGGTGACAGAGCGAGACTCTGTCTCAAAAAAAAAAAAAAATCCCTATTGCAAATGGAAGGTCCATTTATGCAAAATGTATTTCCTATTTCATCTAGCAAATCAAACATGGCTACCAGAAAAGCAGACTTAAGAATTGTGGTGTTTTTACCGCATGCTCTCACTCATAGGTGGGAACTGAACAATGAGAACACATGGACACTGGAAGGGGAACATCACACACCGGGACCTATTGTGGGATGGGGGGTGGGGGGAGGGATAGCATTAGGAGATATACCTAATGTAAATGACGAGTTAATGGGTGCAGCACACCAACATGGCACATGTATACATATGTAACAAACCTGCACGTTGTGCACATGTACCCTAAAACTTATAATAAAAAAAAAAAGAATTTTGGTGTTTTTTTTTTAAGAATACAAATTTCTTTTAAAACTTTGCTAAACTGCTAAAATAGGATAGGAATAATGTGTCCTTCTTAGTAGTCTGCACATCACAAATATGCCACTCCATAACTAACTGAAAACCAAAACCAACAAGTGGATTACACATGTTTGAATACTTCATATGTTACCAAGAGAACATTCTGCTCATTATATTAAGGGAAATTAAGTATGTGGGCTGAGCTTCCTGTACCTGGATCCTGCAGTTCATCTACCAAGGCAGTCTCTACCCAAACACTCTAGAATCTTCAGCATACATTTCTTTGAAAACTAAGAATTTTATATCTGGAGATCACAAAATATGAATTTTCCATTACTATTATAGCCATTGTAAAAACTAGTATATAAATTTAAAACTCCAGCTATAATGAAATTATAAATTTGAATGATTAAAAGATGGCATTTCAACTTTATTAGTTCTTTTCCTCTTCAAATCAATTTCAGATGAGTGCCTAAAGGGCAATATTATAGTTATGCTAGCAGCTATATTACTTAAATAAACCTTACCTATCCTTTTCCCTGAAATCAAAAGTTTCCCATTAAAAATAAACTTTAAAAAGCAGACCTTCCCAAAGCTTCTTCCAAACTGATGATGGCTGCTTGCAGTTGATTTTGACTGACTGCTTCAAGAGACAGGCTCAGACGAGAGGACTCAGTGACGAGTGGTGGCAGCCGTGCTTTGCTGGAGTGGCCTAACAAGTAGATAGTTGCCACAGTTTGAAATTCTGCTGAACAGCTTGCTGCTGCCCAGGACCATTCACTAGTCAACATTTTCAGATCCAGTTAATTGTTAAATTGGAAAGCCTTGGGAGAATTTAGCATTACCAGAAAGACCATAGCCTACGTGCATCACTTCAAAGCATGGCAAGAACTTGTTCCTGGCTAGGTAGGCATAAGAGGCATAAGATGCAGACCATGTAGGCGAATATGGGAAGAGGAGGCAGGTAATATATTTGAAACCAACAGTTACCAAGAAGAAAAGTTAGTAGAGGGATAAATGAATTAGTCTTCAAACCCTTCACAATGTGAAAATAAATGTAGTGGGCCATAACATCCCTAGGGTTGTAGCATTCATTACCTGAGCAAGACAGGGCATGGAAGAATGAAACAAAGCACATGACACTTGAGATATTATCAACAAAAATTTCCAGAGTTAGTTATTCTCAAATTTCTATCATGCATTCATTTAAGCTTTAGGGAAAGTAATTCACTTACCAATTGCTGTTAAAATAAATAAAAGTGTGGCAACAGCTGATGTTCCATAAAACATGGTGCTGATATTACAAGCCAGGAGATTTGTGTCATTCTGTGTGTTGGGTACTAAAACTGGTGGTAGCAAAAAGCCAACTGCAGTTCCAAGCTGAAAAACACATAGTCCTGTTAACAGCTATTATCATTAGAGAAAAAAGTAAATGCTGGCAATTAACAGAACATAAAGAGGACAGCTAGTGTTTATAAAGGTGCTTTGAAAATTAAACTATTATGTTCTTTTTTTTTTTTTTGAGACAAAGTCTGTCTCCCAGGCTGGAGTGCAGTGACGCAATCTTGGCTCACTGCAACCTCTCCCTCCCAGGTTCAAGCAATTCTCCTGCCTCAGCCTCCTGAGTAGCTGGGATTACAGGCGCGCGCCACAACGCCCAGCTAATTTTTGTATTTTAGTACAGACGGGGTTTCACCATGTTGGTCAGGCTGGTGTCGAACTCCTGACCTCATGATCCGCCCGCCTCGGCCTCCCAAAGTGCTGGGATTACAGGCGTGAGCCACTGCACCCAGCCTAAACTACTATGCTCTAATGTCTTTTTTACTATTGTATTGTTAAAGGGAAATTGCTCACCAATATCTCTCCTATCCAAAAAACATTTACTGAGTTCCTACCATCTGAGTGATGCTGCTATTATAAAGCTGTGTAATATACAGTCCTTGCCCTGCAGATGCTTACAAAAGGGGAATAAGAATATGCAAAATAAGGCTGACAAAAGATGACCTACAGAATCAGAAAAATTTGTAAATTATATATCTGATCAGGGTATAGCTTCCAGAATATATAAAGAACTATTACAGCTCAACAACAAAAAAGCAATATCCCAATTTTAAAATGGGCAAAAGACTTGAATAGACATTTCTCCAAAGAAGATATACAAATGGTCAATAAGCATTTGAAAACATGCCCGAATCAAAACCATAAGATACCACTCCACACCAGGTAGCATGGCTACTATAATAACAATAATAGCAATATAAAAGTGTTGGCAAGAATGTGGAAAAATTGGAACCCTTGAATACGGCTGGTGGGACTATAAAATGGTGCAGCCACTGCAGACAAGTTTGGCAGTTCCTTAATAAGTTTAACATAGAATTACCATATGACCTAGCAATTCTACTCCTAGGTATATGTCCCCAAAACTGAAAACAGAAATTCAAACAAATAATTACATATGAATGTTCACAGCAGCCCTATTCACATTACCACAATAACCAAAAGGTGAAAATAACCCAAACATTTATCAACAGATAAATGGATAAACAAAATGTGGTATATTCATACAATGAAATATTATTCAGCTATTAAAAAGGAATGAAGTACTGATACAGTGCTACAACATGGATGAACTTTGCAAATAAGCTAAGTGAAAGAAGCCAGACACAAAAGGTCACCTACTGTATGATTCCATTTATATGAAATATCCAGAACAGGTCAATCCACAGAAAGAGAAGGGAAACTAGTACTTGCCACAGGCTAGGGGAGGGGGCAATGGTGGGGAAGTGACTGTTTAGTAGGTATTGGGCCTTCTTTGCGGGTGGATAAAAATGTTTTGAAACTAGACAGAAGTAACAGTTGCACAACACTGTAAATGTACTAAACGCCACTGAATTGTACACATTAAAATGGTTAGTTTTATTTATGTGAATTTTACCTCAACAAAAAATATGGCTAAATATCATAATCACAAGAAATAAAATCAAACTATTAGGAGGTTCAATGGAGGAAGGTTTTTAGGAGGAAGATTTTTAGGAGGAAGGGCGTGAGGAGGAAGGGCCCAAGAAAGGAGTCTGAGGCAGAGATAGTCACACTTATCAAATATTTCATTTGCTCCCTTACAAAAAGCTAGATAGAGGCCAGGCGCGGTGGCTCACACCTGTAATCCCAGCACTTTGGGAGGCCGAGGTGGGGGGATCACGAGGTCAGGAGATCGAGACCATCCTGGCTAACATGGTGAAACCCAGTCTCTACTAAAAAATACAAAAAATTAGCCGGGTGTGGAGGCGGGTGCCTGTAGTCCCAGCTACACGGGAGGCTGAGGCAGGAGAATGGCATGAACCCGGGAGGCAGAGCTTGCAGTGAGCCAAGATCGCGCCACTGCACTCCAGCCTGGGGGACAGAGCAAGACTCCATCTCAAAATAAATAAATAAATAAATAAAAATAAAACAAAAAGCTAGATAGAAAGAATATAACTGGTAATTACAAGAGAGGGTGGTAATACAGTACTGTGATTGAGACGTAAACAGTGCCAAGACTGGGGAGACCACGTAATTTACTATCCATCTAGAATACTCTTCAGAATGAAAGGGACTTCATTAGTAATCATACCAGACAACAGGTGTACCACCTGGACTATCCCAAGCAAACTGGGACATATGATCATGGTAGCTAAGAGAGTACTTTGGGGGAGCACCTTATATAGAAATATTATTCAGCTATCAAAAAGAATGAAAAGAAATGGGGTTCAGAAAAAGTTCCTGGAGGAGCAAAGATCTGAATAAGAAATTGGAGTTAGTCAAGTGAAGAAATATTCCAAGCCAACAGGACATTACATACAAGGCCAGGAGGGAAAGGGCACGACCTTGTGAGAAACTATAAGTAGGCATAGTTCTGCACAGAGCAGAGAAAGCATATGTCTGTGGGGACAGGGGTTGTGCATACAGATAAAGTGGAAGGGCTGGCAGGAGGCAGATCTGGAGGGTCCCATATGTCACACTAGAGTGTTTGAATTTTATCCTAAGGACAATGGAAGCCACTGCAGGGGGTAAGGATGTGCCCGGAACAGATTTGCACATTGTAAAAGACCACGCTGGATGAATGCGAGAACAGAGGGAAGACAGCAAGGGCTACAGATAGGGAGGACAGTTAGCAAGCTCTAGGTGAGAGCTGTGGGTGGCCCAAACCAAGACAGTGGCATTAGAGATAAAGGGAAATGAGCAAGGAGAAAGCAATTTTGAGTGGTGTGTTCCCATGAGATATCCAAGTAGACTATCCAGCTGGCCAGTATCTGTATGAGTCTGAAGCTCCTTTATTTATTCAACATGGTTTTATGGAGAGTAATAAATGCTGGTGATACAGCTGTGTACATTCAGACCACATTCCTATTTTCATGAAACTTACAATCTAATGGTGGGGATAAGAGAAAAGTAATAGGTAAGTAACATATGAACATGTAAACAATAACATATGAGACAGGGATGAGTGCTATAAGGAGAATTAAAGTAAAATAATGTAAAGAGAGTGACTGGGCAACTCTAAATGGGATCAAGAAATGCTACTGAATATTTAAAAATGAATTTAAACTGAGAGATGTGTGACAAAGAAAATGTAATCATGGCCGGGCGTGGTGGTTCACACCTGTAATCCCAGCACTTCGGGAGGCAGAGGTGGGCAGAGAGCTTGAGCTCAGCAGTTCGAGACAAGCATGAGCAACATGGAGAAACCCCATTTCTACAAAAAAAAAAAAAAAAAACCACACACACAAAAAACTTTATAATAGCTTCTGTCCAAACCTGCAGATGCAACCAACTCAAGTATCAGTCATAAATTATTTTGGACAAACAACTATAGTTCAACCTACTCCATCTTCTGTACTTTTAGATAAGGGAAATGACTATAAAGCAATAAGCATGTAGATTCTCATGCCTTGGCCACCTGAGTAGCTGGAATTACAGGCATGCACCACACCATGCCCCACTAATTTTTGTGTATTTGGTTTTGCCATGTTGGCCAGGCTGGTCTCAGACTCCTGGCCTCAAGTGATCCGCCTGCCTCAGCCTCCCAAAGTGCTGAGATTACAGGCGTGAGCCACCACGCCCAGCCCAGAACTTTTGGTTAGCAGTCATTTATGTGTCCCTTATGTGCCAGGAACTGTGCTGACTGCTAATATATGAAATTAAAAGGGAGCTGTTCACAATGACCTCTCAAAATGGAAACAATCTTCCCAGAACCCAATACCTTCCTTTCACAAATACACTGGTGACAAAAATAATACCCCAAGTCTTGTTCGTTACTGCATTGACAAATTTTCCATGTTAGGCATACACAAGCCAATACAGTTAATTATTATTATTATTATTATGGTTACAGTTTATTATTATTATTTGAGACAGAGTCTCACTCTGTCACCCAAGCTGGAGTGCAAAGGTGCAATCTCCGCTCACTGCAACCTCCACCTCCCGGGTTCAAGAGATTCTCCTGCCTCAGCCTCCTGAGTTGCTGGGACTACAGATACCCGCAAGCAGGCCTGGCTAATTTCTGTATTTTTAACAGAGACGGGGTTTCCCCATGTTGCCCAGGCTGGTCTGGAACTCCTGACTTGAAGTGATCCACCCACCTCGGCCTCCCAAAGTGCTGGGATTACAGGTGTGTGCCACCGCGCCCGGCCCAGTTAATTATTTTATAGGTAATTTTCAAAGCAAGATGACAAGGTCGTTTGGAAAATTTTGTCCTTACAAAGAAATTTATAGCCCACTTCAATCCAAGACGGCCTCCTATTCAACGGCTTCATCTCCTCTTTTATAGACAAATACCTCCTGGGGCAGTTCATCCATACAGGCCATAGTTCTCACGGCCTATGACTTTTTCCGGTCTTTTAAGGATCTGACTTTCACCTACCACTCCAGTACTTACCTGATTGCCCAGCACGGCGGTGGCACAAGCTGTGGACACCTCTTTGGGCCCAAACCACACTGAGGCGATGCGGGAGGGCAAGCCCAGGATGAACACCTGGGCCACCGAGCACAAGCACTGGCCCAACATGGTGACCCAGAAGAGATGCTGCTGCACACTGCCGCACTTGATCCAGGCACCCAGGCAGTTGAGGCCGGAGCCCAGCAGGGCGGTGAGCCGCAGGCCTCTGGTGTCCAGCAGCCAGGTGGCCGGGAAGATGAGGGGCACGTAGGCCAGCATGTACACCATGGACAGCCAGTCGATGTGCAGCAAGGTGACACCGTAGAAGCCCTCGAAGACGTTGCTAATGATGCTGTACTGGATCCACTGAAAGGCGTTGACCAGCGAGTACAGGCTGAAGATCAGGAGCACCACGAAGCGCCGCGGGGAGAGCGCCGTAAGGGGCAGCGGGCTGCTCTCGGCCCCCGGGGTCTCAGCTCCCGCGCCCGCAGGCAGCAGCCGGGCCTGGGTCTCCTCTTCTGGGGCCAGTGGAGTCTGAGGCCCGCCCAGAACTCCCGAGGCGGCAGCGAGGCTGTCCCGGGGGGCCCCATTCACCGGGAAGGTGCCCGCTTTGGGCCCGTTCTGCAGCTCCACGCTCTCCTTCCCAACGGGCGCGCCCCTCGGCAACGGGAGGTATCCTTTCGCGAGCGGGTGTCCGGGCGCCACCGCCGCCCCCTCCTCATCGTCTGGCCGCGCCATATCCCAGGCTCCCCGGCGCCACCTCGCTCCCCCGCCCCACTCCCCGACTCCGCTCTCCCGGCCCACAGCCCGAGGTCCTCCTGGGGCCCCACCTCCAACCCCTCGGCCCACCGCTCCTTCCCCGGTGGCGCGCGCCGCGAACCGCAATCCGCGCTACCGCGTGAACAGATGAAGGTCTCCTCCCCCGCGCCGCGCGGCAGTCACCCCTTGTCTGGTCCCGCCCCTAGAGTCGCGCGTCCTGCATGACTACGGCCCTCCGGCCAATCAGCGTGCGCCTTTGTCCGGCGCGAGAGCCAGTCGGGGAGCTACCGGGCGAGAACTTCGGGAGGCGGGGGAGGAAAGCGGCCGGCGAGCGCTGGCTGACATTTTCCTGCCCGGAAGGATGCATGGCCCGGGGTCTCCTGCACCTGAGGGTGGGCGGGAGGCGGCCCCGCGGGTTGTGTTGCTGGAAAAAGGGGTCTCGATCCAGACCCCAAGAGAGGGTTCTTGGGTCTACTTCAGGGAAGAATTGGAGGCGAGTCACAGAGCGCAGTGAAGGAAGCAAGTTTATTGGAATCTACTCCGTTAGAGAGTGCAAGTCCTCAGACTGCAGGAGGAGGAACTCCCGTCCTTCGGTAGTGTCACTACTTAGAGGCAGCTGTGAGGAGCTGTGATTAATCGTGGAATGTGCTGATGTGCCCACTAAAGGTAGGGGCTGTTGGTGCACTAATGACCATTAATCCTTCAACCTAAGCCTGCGCATTGACGTTATCTCTGAGTAGAGGGCTGGGCCGGGCTCGGTGGCCACGTCTGTAATCCCAGCACTGTGGGAGGCCGGACAGGAGTCTCCCTTGAGCCCAGGAGTTCGAGACCAGCCTGGGCAACATACTGAGATGCCATCTATTTAAAAAAAAAAAAAAAAAAAAAAAAGCCAGTAGCCAGGCGTGGTGGTGCATGCCTGTAGTCCCAGCTACTCAGGAGGCTGAGGCAGGAGAACTACTTGAACCTGGGAGGCGGAGGTTGCAGTGAGCTGAGATCGCACCACACTGCCCTCCAGCCTAGCCTGGGCGACAAAGTGAGACCTTGTCTAAAAAAAAAAAAAAAACTCAGGACATCTGGACAATTCCGCAGACTTGGTGGGAGATGTCCTGTATGGCCATAAATATTGTGTAATTATAATTGTTGGTCAGCTTAGAATGCGGCTATTTTCAGACCTTTAGCATTAACCTTATAGGTGCCTTGTGAGTGCCTAGTTACTCACTTTAACATGCAGTCGCTCTAGCCATGTTTTATTAAACCAGATGCCTGGTAAGCAGTGGCTCCTCTAACAAGTGGGCAGCTTGGAACTGGGAACGAGAGAGCCACCGAAACAGAATGAGGGAGACAAAGAAGTGGGCATCACCCTTAACTCCACAAGGGCTTCCCAAGGGCGCTGTACCGTACGCAGGCCCAGGACGAACTTTATTTCTCGCCCCAGCATCGCTGTCCTTGTCGGTGAGACCCTGGCTTTAGGGCAGACAGGACCACGTTTCATAAGTTCATGCTGTCCCAGCAGAGGAATAACGCCAGAAAGTGTTCCAGTACAACCAGAGAAAGAGAGTCCATGAGAAATCTGCCCTTGTGAAGTTGGAATCCCCTCAACCTCACCCCGCTGACTTGAATGAAGCGACTGAGACGGGCTATGATGGAGCAGATCCGGTTGCTCGACCTTCTCCCTTGCACCAACACATGTAGTTAATAGTTACTGGACATGCATATTCAGTGGGTTCCAGGTACCAAACTTGTATTGAATGGTATGTGCCAGACACCGTCTTGAGATCTGGAGAATAAAAAAATAAAAAAATAAAAACGAGACATCCAGAGCACAGTAGCCTTGCGGTCTTCCTGGAACTAGAGAAAATTCAGCCCTTCTGCTCCTTGGGAAGCTATGTTTGGGAAAAAAAAAAAAAGAGAGAGAGAGAGACTCCAAAGAGTTTGTTATTAAATTTAAGTTCAAACTAGGTGTATATAGTACAAAAGTTCTTACCATGCATTTAATCTTAAAATGTGCTGATATCTAGAACCCTAAAACCCTGCACTTTTTTATTGCCTCTTACATTATTATTTTGGTCATGTATGAAATATATCAGGCATCTCTCGGTACAGGTGAAATGCTACATGTTCTAAACTAAGGAATAAGTGCATTATTATAATGTCTTCCTTGGCCAAACTGTATAAATCCCCCCCTCCGCCCGCCCCGGCCAACATCCCTTCCCTGCTTTTTTTTTTCTTTCTTTCCTAGTGCTTACCTTCACCTAAAATGTCCTATATTTTTACTTTTTTTTTCTGGTTATTTTCTTTCTTTCTTTTTTTTTTTGACAGTCTTGCTCTGTCACCCAGGCTGGAGTGCAGTGGCGCGATCTCGGCTCACTGCAACCTCCACCTCCCAGGTTCAAGCGATTCTTCTGCCTCAGCCTCCCGAGTAACTGGAACTACAGGCCCGCGCCATCATGCCTGGCTAATTTTTGTATTTTTCTTTAGTGGAGACAGGGTTTCACCATATTGGCCAGGCTGGTCTTGAACTCCTGACCTCGTGATCCGCCCGCCTCAGCCTCGCAAAGTGCTGGGATTACAGGCCTGAGCCACCGAGCCTGGCCTCTTTCTTTCTTTTCTTTCTTTCTCTCTCTCTTTCTTTCCTTCTCTCTCTCTCTCTCGGCTGACCACCAAGCCTGAGTACTTTTTGTATTTTTTGTAGAGATGGGGTTTTGCCACATTGCTCAGACTGGTCTCAACTGATCAGCTCACTTCGGCCTCCCAAAGTGCTAGGATTACAGGCATGAGCCATTGTGCTGGGCCTTTTTCTGGTTATTTTCTCCCTGCCCACTAGAATGTGAGTTCCATAAGGGCAGGGCTGAAAGTTTTGTTGCTTTTTGCTACCGCTACTATTTTTCAAGAATTTGTAACCAGTGTACTTTGTGCGAGTACCTAGCACATAGTAGCTGTTCAATAAATATTTACTGAGTACAGCTAATGAATACTGAATTACCGTGAATATTTTAAATAATTACTTGCTTTGTAAAGAAATCTATTTCTTCTCTCTGCCCAACTGCTGCTGCATCGCCATCACAGACACCAGCCATGTGCAGCCTATCTAGCTAGCCAGGGTCACCAAGGTCCTGGGCAGAACCAGCTCTCAGGGACAGTGCATGCGGGAATTTATGGAAGACACAAGCCACTCCATCATCCACAGTGTAAAAGACCCCATGCGCAAGGGCTATGTGCTCACCCTGTTGGAGTCAGAGCGAGAGGCCTGGAGGTTGCACTGAGCTTGGCTGCTCACTGGGTCTTGGATGTTGGGTTCGACCACTTGGTCCATGAGAATGCTGTGCCATGATCTGCTCCTTTATTTTATTTGCCAGCCGCACAGGAATTGAGATATGCATTTAAATAAAGTGTTTGTGTGCCAAATTAGAAAGAAAAGAAAGGAAAGAGACAAAGAAAGAAGAGAGAGAGAAAGAAAGAAAGAGAGAAAAAGAAAGGAAGGAAGGAAAAAAGGAGGGAGGAGAGAAGGAAGGAAATCTTTTTTTAAATTATTATTATTATTTTTTTTTTTTTTTTGAGACGGAGTTTCGCTCTTGTCACCCAGGCTGGAGTGCAGTGATGCGATCTCGGCTCACTGCAACCTCTGTTTCCGGGGTTCAAGCGATTCTCCCTCCTCAGCCTCTCAAGTAGCTGGGATTAAGGCGCCCACCACCACGTGAAATCTGTTTCTTAAAAAAAAAAAATCTTGGCCAGGTGCAGTGGCTTACGCCTGTAATCCCAGCACTTTAGGAGGCCGAGGCGGGTGGATCACGAGGTCAGGAGATCAAGACCATCCTGGCTAACACGGTGAAGCCCATCTCTACTAAAAATACAAAATATTAGCCGGGCATGGTGGTGGGCGCCTGTAGTCCCAGCTACTCGAGAGGCTGAGGCAGGAGAATAGCGTAAACCCAGGAGGTGGAGCTTGCAGTGAGCCGAGATCGCGCCACTGCACTCCAGCCTGGGCGATAGAGCGAGACTCCGTCTCAGAAAAAAACAAAAACAAAAACAAAAACAAAAAAAGTCTTGCAAACTTCCAGAAGGAAGGGAAGGAGGGAGTGAAATCTATTTCTTTCTCTTTTCCTTTTTCTTTTTTTGACACAGAGCTTTGCCCTTGGAGTCCAGGCTGGAGTGCAATGATGAAATCTCAGCTGACTGCAACTTCTGCCTCCCGGGTTCAAGTGATTCTCCTGCCTCAGCCTCCCAAGTAACTGAGATTACAGGTGCCCACACCCGGGTAATTTTTGTATTTTTAGTAGAGACAGGGTTTCTCCATGTCGGTCAGGCTGGTCTCGAACTCCTGACCTCAGGTGATCCACCTACCTCAGCCTCCCAAAGTGCTGGGGTTACAGGCATGAGCCACCGTGCCCGGCCACCATTCTAATTTCTTAATCTTGTCTTCTTTCTCTGGCTTCAGTGGTAGATATTTATTAACCAGTTTAAACATGAGTCATTATTTATATCAAATGTTTGGATGTATAACGTAAAATGAACCTTAATCTCTGTCAAAAAAGATACTACTGGGAGCATCGTTTGGCTGGGAGTCAAGATGAGATTGAGCTACTTTATGGGTGTGGAATGCCAAGTCAGAGAGATTTGAATAAGTAACACTTCAGCAATATGAGATCTGGACAGCATCCAGGAGCCAAGGTCCAAGATGCTAATAGGAGTGATGTAGCTGTCCCTGAACAAAGGTTTGCCACAGTTTACGAGCCTCAGAGGTTAAGATGCAAACCAGAACAATGCTATTGGATGTGCAATCCATGATGTTTCATGGGGAGGTGGGTAGATTTGGGCAACCTTGCCTTCAGTTTACTCCTACTAGCATCAGGCTCTGTCCACCTGATCAGCAGAGGCTATATGGTTCTATTTTGTGAAAAGATCAAGTTGGAAATGGAGGAGTAGAGGAGAAGGTTGGAAATCAGAATCCTCCCACATGTATTCTTCCCTCCATTGAGACATTTTATTTGTATATATTTATTCCTGAAAAAAAAAAAAAAAAAAGAGTCCCAGGATTTTTTCTCCTGTGTTTTTGTCTTGTTTCTTCTCGGTCCATGATGCCAGTTGAGGTCATCAGTACAGCGAAACCAAACTGGTGAGATGGGAACAAATTATTCTGTCACTTTTCTAGATCTTTTTATTTATTTTTTTATTTATTTTTTGAGATGGAGTCTCGCTCTTGTTGCCCAGTCTGGAGTGCAATGGCGAGCCTGGGTTCAAGACCAGCCTGGGTAACATGGCGAAACCCCTTCTCTACCAAAAAAATACAGTATTTAGCTGGGCCTGGTGCATGCCTGTAGTCCCAGCTACCTGAGAGGCTGAGGTGGGAAGATCGCTTGAGCCCAGGAGGTCAAGGCTGCAATGGGCTGAGATCACGCCACTCCAGCCTAGGCAACAGAGTGAGGCCTTGTCAAAAAAAAAAAAGAGAGAGAGAGAGATACAAGCCTTCAGAGACCCTCATATTAACTTCATGGTAAATCTGCCTCTGCTCACCCCTCCCACCTGTAGCAACTAATATCTTCATTTCCAGATTTACTCTGAAAAAACTGTGCAACTGCTTCACATGTTTCCTCTTGATTCACTAATTTGTAACTCACTTACTGAAACTCTGATGAAAGAATTGAGTCAAAAAATAAATAGACCTCCTTCCCAGCCCTGGCTTGTTCAGAGCATCTACTACAGAGGAGTCTTAAGGGTTTTGTATGCTTAGAGTTGAGAGACCAAATAGCTCCTGAAAACTGTAGCTAGAGGAAATGCCATATGGAGACAGGCCACAAGGAGAACTCAAGCCCCTGTAAACCAAAAATGAAATATTCTAAGCCCCCAATTTACTAAACAGATTCAACCTCCCACTTCAGCCTCCCAAATAGCTGGGATTACAGGCGCATGCAACCATGCCCGGCAAATTTTTGTGTTTTTTGTAGAGATGGGGTTTCGCCATGTTGGCCAGGCTGGTCTTGAACTCCTGACTTCAAGTGATCTGTCCACCTCACCCTCCCAAAGTGCTGGGATTAGTGAGCCACTGCAACAGCCCTCTAACACTTATTTCTGAAGTTTTTTTTCTTCCCTCCTTCTCGGAAGCCCCTTCCTCCCTCTCTTGTTGCCTTAAGGTACCTTCACCCTGGCTAGGCCCTATTGTTCTTTTATCGGTTTTTTGTTTGTTTCTTTAGCCTACATATGCTCTTCCACCTGGGTTATACAAATGCAAAGTACACCCTAGTTCCATGCTGGGCCTTATTATTAACAAGAACTTTCTGAATCTCTTAAGATGTAGTGAAAGCAGATATACATAAACTATGTTGAACTAAACTGTATTTTCTTTTTTTTATTTCACTTTAAAAATTTATTTTCATACCAAAAAAATCATTCAAAGACAGTATTAAAAAGGATGACAAAATACATAAAATTGGCAGATGTCTTACACTAAAATAAAGTTGGTTTTCCCAGATCTGAATGGTTTTATACTACTTGATATTCCCAATTGGTCCTGAAATAAACTCCATACCCTCCCTAATACTATCTGAATGGCACTAATATTTTACTATATTAATATTCGAATGGCGATTTGGAAGGGAGAGGTCTCACTCACAGGTATCTTCTTTTTTTTTTTTTTTTTTTTTTTTACTCCAATTTTTACTTTTCTTTTTTTTTTTTATTATACTTTAAGTTTTAGGGTACATGTGCACATTGTGCAGGTTAGTTACATATGTATACATGTGCCATGCTGGTGCGCTGCACCCACTAACTCGTCATCTAGCATTAGTTATATCTCCCAATGCTATCCCTCCCCCCTCCCCCCACCCCACCACAGTCCCCAGAGTGTGATATTCCCCTTCCTGTGTCCATGTGATCTCATTGTTCAATTCCCACCTATGAGTGAGAATATGCGGTGTTTGGTTTTTTGTTCTTGCGATAGTTTACTGAGAATGATGGTTTCCAGTTTCATCCATGTCCCTACAAAGGACAAAGACACAACATACCAGAATCTCTGGGACGCATTCAAAGCAGTGTGTAGAGGGAAATTTATAGCACTAAATGCCCACAAGAGAAAGCAGGAAAGATCCAAAATTGACACCCTAACATCACAATTAAAAGAACTAGAAAAGCAAGAGCAAACACATTGAAAAGCTAGCAGAAGGCAAGAAATAACTAAAATCAGAGCAGAACTGAAGGAAATAGAGACACAAAAAACCCTTCAAAAAATCAATGAATCCAGGAGCTGGTTTTCTGAAAGGATCAACAAAATTGATAGACCGCTAGCAAGACTAATAAAGAAAAAAAGAGAGAAGAATCAAATAGACACGATAAAAAATGATAAAGGGGATATCACCACCGTTCCCACAGAAATACAAACTACCATCAGAGAATACTACAAACACCTCTACACAAATAAACTAGAAAATCTAGAAGAAATGGATAAATTCCTCGACACATACACTCTCCCAAGACTAAACCAGGAAGAAGTTGAATCTCTGAATAGACCAATAACAGGAGCTGAAATTGTGGCAATAATCAATAGTTTACCAACCAAAAAGAGTCCAGGACCAGATGGATTCACAGCCGAATTCTACCAGAGGTACAAGGAGGAACTGGTACCATTCCTTCTGAAACTATTCCAATCAATAGAAAAAGAGGGAATCCTCCCTAACTCATTTTATGAGGCCAGCATCATTCTGATACCAAAGCCGGGCAGAGACACAACCAAAAAAGAGAATTTTAGACCAATATCCTTGATGAACATTGATGCAAAAATCCTCAATAAAATACTGGCAAACCGAATCCAGCAGCACATCAAAAAGCTTATCCACCATGATCAAGTGGGCTTCATCCCTGGGATGCAAGGCTGGTTCAATATACGCAAATCAATAAATGTAATCCAGCATATAAACAGAGCCAAAGACAAAAACCACATGATTATCTCAATAGATGCAGAAAAAGCCTTTGACAAAATTCAACAACCCTTCATGCTAAAAACTCTCAATAAATTAGGTATTGATGGGACATATTTCAAAATAATAAGAGCTATCTATGACAAACCCACAGCCAATATCATACTGAACGGGCAAAAACTGGAAGCATTCCCTTTGAAAACTGGCACAAGACAGGGATGCCCTCTCTCACCACTCCTATTCAACATAGTGTTGGAAGTTCTGGCCAGGGCAATCAGGCAGGAGAAGGAAATAAAAGGTATTCAATTAGGAAAAGAGGAAGTCAAATTGTCCCTGTTTGCAGATGACATGATTGTTTATCTAGAAAACCCCATTGTCTCAGCCCAAAATCTCCTTAAGCTGATAAGCAACTTCAGCAAAGTCTCAGGATACAAAATCAATGTACAAAAATCACAAGCATTCTTATACACCAACAACAGACAAACAGAGAGCCAAATCATGAGTGAACTCCCATTCACAATTGCTTCAAAGAGAATAAAATACCTAGGAATCCAACTTACAAGGGATGTGAAGGACCTCTTCAAGGAGAACTACAAACCACTGCTCAAGGAAATAAAAGAGGATACAAACAAATGGAAGAACATTCCATGCTCATGGGTAGGAAGAATCAATATCGTGAAAATGGCCATACTGCCCAAGGTAATTTACAGATTCAATGCCATCCCCATCAAGCTACCAATGACTTTCTTCACAGAATTGGAAAAAACTACTTTAAAGTTCATATGGAACCAAAAAAGAGCCCGCATCGCCAAGTCAATCCTAAGCCAAAAGAACAAAGCTGGAGGCATCACACTACCTGACTTCAAACTATACTACAAGGCTACAGTAACCAAAACAGCATGGTACTGGTACCAAAACAGAGATATAGATCAATGGAACAGAACAGAGCCCTCAGAAATAACGCCGCATACCTACAACTATCTGATCTTTGACAAACCTGAGAAAAACAAGCAATGGGGAAAGGATTCCCTATTTAATAAATGGTGCTGGGAAAACTGGCTAGCCATATGTAGAAAGCTGAAACTGGATCCCTTCCTTACACCTTATACAAAAATCAATTCAAGATGGATTAAACTGTATTTTCTAAAAGTAAATAAATGTGTTGGCTGGGAGCGGTGGCTCAGGCCTGTAATCCCAGCACTTTGGGAGACCGAGCAGGAGGATGGCTTGAGCTCAGGAATTCGAGACAAGCCTGGGTAACATAGCGAGACCTTGTCTTTACAAAAAATACAAAAATTAGCCGGGCCTGGTGACACAAACCTATTCTTCCAGCTACTTGGGAGGCTGAGGTGGGAGGATGGCTTGAGCCCTGGAGGCGGGGGTTGCAATGAGCCAAGATCATGCCACTGCACTCTAGCCTGGGCAACAGAGCAAGACCTTGCCACCAAAAAAATAAAATAAATAAATGTGTTTTTAAAAAATGCACTGCCCACCTTTGAAGGCAACAATGGCACTATGAATGATCTCTAATTTCTTGAGTCAGCTTGTTTCTTGAGTTGCTTCTCCATGTAGTGAGTGAGTTAGTTAGTTTTGCTGGGCCCCTTCCTCCACATTGGAAACATTCCAGAGTGACCTGAAGATTTAAAAAAAAAAAAAACTGGAGACCTCCTCTTCTTAGAAAAGAAATATATGAATAAAATAACTTTCCATGTAGCTTGGGCAACATGGCAAAACCCCGTCTCTATGAGAAATTTAAAAATTAGCCAGTTGTGGTGGTCCACGCCTGTAGTCCCAGCTACTCAGGAGGCAGAGGTGAGAGGATCACCTGAGTTCAGGAGGTCGAGGTTGCAGTAAGCCTCAATCACACCACTGCACTCTAGCCTGTCCGATGGAATGAGATCCTGTCTCAAAAAACAAAAGAGGCCAGGGAGGCCAAGGTAGGCAGATCACCTGAGGTCAGGAGTTCGAGACCAGCCTGGCTAACTTGGTGAAACCTCATTTCTACTAAAAATACAAAATTAGCCGGATGTGGTGGCGTATGCCTGTAATCCCAGCTACTCAGGAGGCTGAGACAGGAGAATCACTTGAACCTGGGAGATGGAGGTTGCAGTAAGCCGAGATCGTGTCATTGCATTCCAGCCTGGGCAACAACAGTGAAACTCCATCTCAAAAACCAAACCAAAACAAAAACAAACAACAACAACAAGTTCCCCATGTAAAATATAAAGTTTTAATAAAACCAATAAAGTAGCTACCACTTACTGAGTACTTACAATGAATCTTTAGATTAGAACTCTTCTTCATCGGGGCAAGGACCCATTTGTCCCCAGTATCCACAATAGCTCCAAGCACAGTATGTGCTCAAAACATATCAGTACATGTAATAAATTGATGCCAGCCACAATGCAAAAATCTTTACATGCATTCCTAATTTAATCTCAACACTCTCCTCATCACTTACCACACATACAAACACACAGCTTGGTGAAAGCAGTATCTTTAGCCCCCATTTTGCAAATGATGAAACCAATATTACGAGGGTTGAATGGCTGGGCCTGGTGATGCACACCTGTAATCCCAGCATTTTGGGAGGCCAAGAGGAATCGCTTGAGCTCAGGAGTTCAAGAGCAGCGTGGCCGACATAATGAAACTGTGATTGCACCATTGCACTCCAGCCTGGGTGACAGAGCAAGACCTTGTCTCCAAAAAAAAAAAAAAAAAAAAAAAAAAGAGGGTAGAGGAATTTATATTTATCCAAGGTCACCTGGCTGGTAAGTAAATGATCTCTGACTCCAGAACCTCTCTTAACCAGGCTTCTATGAATAGAACAAAGTTGGAATGGCACTGATCAGAATATTCCATCACCAAGGTGTCATCCCAGTGGGCTAATCCACACCAGTGGACTTGAAACACGCTTTGGGTTGCTGTATGGTAGTATGCTAAAGGTAATTTATAATAATATACCTGTAGAAATAGTAATATATTTTCTCGTACAGTCAATTCTTATTATTATGATAGTTATGTTCTATAAAGTTGCCACAAACATTAAATTAGCAAATACTGAACCATTGCTCCTAGAAAGAATACGGCCGGCCCCTAACTTACAATTGTTTGACATACAATTTTTCGACTTTACAATGGCTCAAAAGCAATATGGATGGCGCAAAAGCAATATGGAAACCACAGTTTTGATCTTTTTCCCAGGCTAGTGCTACTAGTGCTATTTGCTATATGTATAACAAATACATTTTAGGGAGTAGCCAAATTTGCAAATACGTAATCAATGAGTAATGAGGATCTACTGTATATGCATGTTTAATATTTTCAAAACCTGGGCTGGGCACAGTTGCTCACGCCTGTAATCCCAGCACTTTGGGAGGCTGAAGCAGGAGGATCATTTGACCCCAGGAGTTCAAGACCAGCCTGGGCGACATGGCAAAATGACATCTCTACAAAAAATACAAAAATTAGCCAGGCATGGTGGTGTGTGCCTGTAGTTCCAGCTACTTGGAAGGTGAGGTGGGGGGATCACCTGAGCCCGGGAGGTTGAGGCTGCAGTGAGCTGTGATCAAGTCACTCACTGCACTCCAGCCTGGGTGACAAAGTGAGACCTTGTCTCAGAAAGAGAAAAAAAGAAAAGAAAAAGAAGTTTCAAAGCCCTTTTCAGTCTAATGCTCTCCCAACTGAGCTATTTTGGGGAGCCCTTCAAAGCCCCTTTTGTCACGTGCGTCCATGTGAAGAGACCACCAAACAGGCTTTGTGTGAGCAACAAGGCTGTTTATTTCACCTGGGTGCAGGCGGGCCGAGTCCAAAAAAGGAGTTAGCAAAGGGTGGTGGGATTATCATTAGTTCATATAGGTTTGGGATAGGTGTACAAAGTACATTCCTAAGGGCAGGGAAGAATATTACAAAGTACCTTCTTAAGTGGAGGGGGGAGAATATTACAAAGTACCTTCTTAAGGGCAGGGGAGAATATATCATATCAGTTAGGGTGGGGCAGGAACAAATCACAGTGGTGGAACGTCATCAGTTAAGGCTATTTTCAGGTCTTTTGTGGATATTCAGTTGCTTCAGACCATCTAGATGTATACGTACAGGTCACAGGGGATATGATGGCTTAGCTTGGGCTCAGAGGCCTGACATTCCTGTCTTCTTATATTATAATAAGAAAAACAAAACAAAACAGTGGTGAAGTGTTGAGGCAGCGAAAACTTTTGGGGGTGGTATGGAGAGATAATGGCAATGTTTTTCAGGGTTGCTTCAAGCAGGATTGGGGCAGCATGGGAACCTAGAGTGGGAGAGATTAAACTGAAGAAAGATTTTGGGGTAAGGGGTGATATTATGGGCTTGTTAGAAGGGGCATTTGTCGTATAGAATGATTGGTGATGACCTGGATGTGGTTTTGTATGAATTGAGAAACTAAATGGAAGGAAGACACAAGGTCCGAATAAGAGAAGGAGAAAAATAGGTATTAAAGGACTAAGAATTGGGAGGACCCAGGACATCCAATTAAGGAGTGCCCAAGGGGGTTCAGCATAATTATTTGCTTGGTTGGTGAGTTTTTGGGCTCTATCCTTGAGTTTTTTTATGTTGTCATATACCAGGCCAGATTGATTTAGGTAAAAACACTGTTTGTTTAAAAATATAGAGTCCTCTTTTTTTAGCAGTGAATAAGTGGAGGCCTGGGTGATTTTGGAGGAAAGAGAAATGCAAAGCCAGCAATTGTTTGTTAAAGAAGGATTAGAAACAGCTAGGAGAGAGTGAGATTGACAGTGTGGTGGAGATAGCTGGGGAGAGGTAGAGGGTGGCATAAGAACGGGAACCAGAATAAGAGTGAGTATAAAAGTAAAGAATAGGACTTCATCAGGGTGAAAGTATAGGAGTGTACTTTGTCAATGAAGATCTTCTATCCACTTAAACAGAGACTTAAGGGTGGCGATTTGAGGTAAAACCAGGAGCCATTAAATACCAAGAGCCTGAGAAATTGCTCAGGTGATTTGACTAATAAAGGCCGGTCCATTATCAGACTGTATAGAGGTGGGAAGGCCAAACTGAGGAATTATGTCTGACAGAAGGGAAGAAATGACTGCGGTGGCCTTCTCAGACCCTGAGGGAAAGGCCTCTACCCATCCAGTGAAAGTGTCTACCCAGACCAAGAGGTATTTTAGTTTCCTGACTTGGGGCATGTGAGTAAAGTCAATTTGCCAGTCCTGGGCAGGGGCAAATCCCCAAGCTTGATGTGTAGGGAAGGGAGGGGGCCTGAACAATCCCTGAGGGGTAGTAGAATAGTAGATGGAACACTGAGAAGTGATTTTCTTGAGGATAGATTTTCACGATAGAAAGGAAATGAGAGGTTCTAAGAGACGGGCTAGTAGCTTGTAACCTACATGGAAGAGATTATGAAATGACAACAGAATAGAATGGGCCTGTGAGGCTGGAAGGAGATATTTTCCTTGGTCCAAGAACCATTTGCCTTGTGTGGGAAGAGATTGATAGGTGGAAGTTTCAGTGGGGTGTAGGTAGGAGTGACCAATGAGAAGGAGAAAAACTGGCCATGAGGGACAGAAGTTGGAAGGCTAGCTGCTTCTTTGGTTACCTTATCAGCATAAGCATTGCCCTGAGCGATGGGATCTGATGCCTTTTGGTGGCCCTTGCAGTGAATGACTCCAGCTTCCTTTGGAAGTAAAGTGGCCTTGAGAAGAGTTTTTATTAAAGAAGTATTAATGATAGAGGATACTTGCGTAGTGAGGAAACCTCTTTCAGCCCATATAACAGCATGGTGGTGCAGGATATGGAAGGCATATTTAGAGTCAGTATAAATATTGATGCATAGTCCCTTGCAAGAGTGAGGGCCTGAGTTAAGGCAATGAGTTTGGCTTACTGAGACATAGTGGAGGGGGGCAGAGCAGTAGCCTCAGTGATAGATGTAGAAGATACAATAGCATAGCCTGCCTTTGCTGGTGAGTGGCGATTAGGCATGGTGGAACTGCCATCAATAGTGTGATCAGGGTGAGAAACAGGAAAGAAGGAAATATGGGGAAATGGAGTGAATGTCAGGTGGATCAGAGAGATAGCGTCATGGGGGTCAGGTGTTGTATCAGGAATAATGTGGGAGGCCAGATTGAAGTCCAGGCCAGGAACAATGGTAACTGTGGGAGACGCAGCAAAGAGTGAGTATAGTTGAAGGAGCTGAGGGGCAGAAAGTATATGCGTCAAGTGTGAGGAGGAAAATGGATTTTGAAAGTTATGGGAACTGTAGAGAGTAAGTGGAGCATAGCTTGTGATTTTGAGGGCCTCTAAAAGTATTAAAGCAGCAGCAGCAGCCGCTGCACACAGACATGAGGGCTAAGCTAAAACAGTAAAGTCAAGTTGTTTGGACCAAAAGGCTACAGGGTGCAGTCCCGGCTCTTGTGTAAGAATTCTGACCACACAGCCCTGCACTTTGGCTGTGTGTAATGAAAAAGTTGGGATGAGTTAGGGAGAGCTAGTGTGGGAGCAGCTTTTAGGGCTGTCTTTTAAGGAATGGAAAGGAGAGTGGGGAAAGGATTTAGGATTTATGGGGTCAGTTAGGTTGATCTAGAACAGAATAATGGAGGGAGATATTGAGGATAGGAGAGTATATGGGTTTGGCACTACAGGGTGGATAGGCAAGACAATTTGGTTGATAAGGCACAGATCCTGAACTAACCTGTAAGACTTGTCTGGTTTTTGGACCAGACCTTTCAAAGTCATTAGTTAAACATATTACTTATCTCCATTTAAGAGATTGTAAAATTGGATGAATTAGCAGTTGGAATTGGCCTGTTCCTATGTCACACACAGGACCAGTTTCACAGGCATGAGACCCAAACAGTCACATAGGGCCCTTTGCTCAGAAGGGTCTCACAATTGGCTTTAAGTTTTACTGTCATTACCTTGAACGTCTCCATTGTTTGTTAATAAAGGGTCCAGCATTTTTATTTTCGCTGGACCCTACAAATTATGTAGCCAATTCTAGTCACACAGCAAGTAAACAAGATTAGAAACTGGGGAGAAAAGAAAATACTAAATTATTTACTTATCAAATTGAACAAAACTTTTTTTAAAGTGCCTATTTAATATGATAAAGTTACCACTTATTGAGGGTTGGTTGTATTAAGCTCTTGGTATTTATTAGCTCATTTAGTCCTTATGACACTCTGTGAGTTGGATATTATTTTCTTTACTTTTCTTTCTTTCTTTTCTTTTTTTTTTTGAGATGGAGTGTCACTTTTGTTGCCCAGGCTGGAGTGCAATGGTGCGGTCTTGGCTCACCGCAACCTCTGCCGCTGGAGTTCAAGCAATTCTCCTGCCTCAGCCTCCAGAGTAGCTGGGATTACAGGCATGTGCCACCGCGCCCAGCTAAGTGTGTGTGTGTGTGTGTGTGTGTGTGTGTGTGTGTGTGTATGTTTGACGGAGTCTTGCTCTGTTGCCCAGGCTGGAGTGCAGTGGTGCAATCTCGGCTCGCTGCAAGCTCCGCCTCCTGGGTTCACACCATTCTCCTGCCTCACCCTCACAAGTAGCTGGGACTACAGGCGCATGCCACCACGCCCAGCTAATTTTTTTTTTTTTTTGTATTTTTAGTAGAGACAGGGTTTCACCGTGTTAGCCAGGATGGTCTTGATCTCCTGACCTAGTGATCCGCCTGCCTCGGCCTCCCAACATGCTGGGATTACAGGCGTGAGCCACCACGCCCAGCCGAGACAGGGTTTCACCATGTTGGCCAGGCTGATTTTGAACTCCCAACTTCAGGTGATCCACCTGCCTAGGCCTCCCAAAGTGTTGGGATCACAGGCGTGAGCCACCGCACCTGGCCTGGATATTATTTTCATTTAACACATCAGGAAACTGAGGCCCAGAGAAGGTAAGTAACTTAAACAAGATCATACAGTTAGGAGGCAGCATAGGTAAAATATTAATCAAATCTTTTTTACTTAAAAAATATGCTTGTACCACTAGACTCTATTACTGTGTCTATTTTGTTTTATTTAGCTCCAGTTGTCAGGTAACTTGTAATAAGAGTTTGAATTTTGAGAACTTCATGGTGAACTTTTAACTAAGACATCTATGTTTTATTTGCAGTTCACCTATAAAATGGGCTTTTATTTTATTTTTATTTTATTTTTTTGAGACCAAGTTTCATTCTTGTCCCCCAGGCTGGAGTGCAATGGTGTGATCTCGGCTGACTGCAACCTCTGCCTCCCAGGTTCAAGCAATTCTCCAGCCTCAGCCTCCTGAGTAGCTGGGATTACAGGTGCCTGCCACCACACTTGGCTAATTTTTGTATTTTCAGTAGAGACCGGGTTTCACCATGTTGGCCAGGCTGGTCTCGAACCCCTGACGTCAGGTGATCCACCCGCCTCGGCCTCCCAAAGTGATGGGATTACAGGCATGAGCCACCGCACCCAGCCTAAAATGGACTTTTAACAAAATATAAATTAACTCAGGCTGGGAGTGATGACTTACGCCTGTAATCCCAGCAATTTGGGAGGCCAAGGCGGGCAGATCACTTGAGGTCAGGAGTTCAAGACCAGCCTGGCCAACATGGTGAAAACCCCCTCTCTACTAAAAATACAAAAAAATTAGCTGGGCATGGTGGTGCACACCTGTAATCCCAGCTACTCAGTAGGCTGAAGCATGAGAACCTCTTGAACCCAGGAGGCAGAGGCTGTAGTGAGCCAAGATCACGCCACTGCACTCCAGCCTGGGTGACAGAGTGAGACTCCATTTCAAAACTAACAAACAAAAATAGGCACTTGACAAACTGACCTTTTTATTTTTTATTATTTTATTTTATTTTTTTGAGAGGGAGTGACGCCCAGCCTGGGCGACAGAGCGAGACTCCTTCTTAAAAGAAAAAAAAAAAAAAAAAAAAGAAAGATACCTCTTCTTTGCTTATTTAGGAAAGAAAAATTGATGGCTCTGGTAGCTTTCCTAAAACAATGTGTGTTTGTGTGATTTCTGTCACTTCAATGTGTTTCAAAGCATTATTATAAAAATAAATCAAAAACAACCTAAAGTCTAGCAATAAAAAGAATAATTAATGTGAGGCACAGTGGCTTATACCTGTAATCCCAGCCTTTGAAAGGCTGAGGTGGGTAGATCGCTTGAGCTTAGGAGTTTCAGCCCAGCCTGGGCAACATGTTGAAACCCTGTCTCTACCAAAAATACAAAAAAATTAGCTGGGCATGGTGGTGCGCACTTGTGGTGGTCCCAGCCACTCAGGAGGCTGAGGTTGGAAGATCACTTGAGCCTAGGAGGCAGAGGTTGCAGTGAGCCAAGATCATGCCCCTGGATTCCAGCCTGGGTGACAGAATGAGACCCCATCTCAAAAGAAAAGAAAAAAAAAGGAAAGATGGTGTCTCCCACTCTAAAAGAATTTAAAAAGACTTACAAACATTAGCTGGGTGTGGTGGCACATGCCTGTAATCCCAGCTACTGGGGAGGCTGAGGCAGGAGAATCGCATGAAACCAGGGAGTCAGGGTTGCAGTGAGCCGATATCACTCCACTGGACTCCATCCTGGAGACAGAGAGAGACTCCGCCTCAAAAAAGAAGAGAGAGAGAGAGAATTTAAAAGGTGAGCGCGGAGCCGGGTGCGGTGGCTCAGTCCTGTAATCCCAGCACTTTGGGAGGCCAAGGCGGGCAGATCAAGAGGTCAGGAGATCGAGTCCATCCTGGCTAACATGGTGAAACCCCGTCTCTACTAAAAATACAAAAAAATTAGCCGGGCGTGGTGGCGGACGCCTGTAGTCCCACCTACTCGAGAGGCTGAGGCAGGAGAATGGCTTGAACCCAGGAGGCAGAGCTTGCAGTGAGCCAAGATCGCGCCCCTGCACTCCAGCTTGGGCGACAGAGCGAGATTCGGTCTCAAAACAAAACAAAACAGGCGAGGGCGGTGGCCCACGCCTGTACAAAAAGTAGCTGGGCATGGTGGTGCGCCTCTGTAATCCCAGCTACTTTGGGAGGCTGAGGCACGAGAATCGCTTGAACCTGCACTCCAGCCTGGACGACAGAGCAAGACTCTGTCTCAAAAAAACAAAACAAAATGAAAACAAAATAATTTAAAATTAAAATTAATTTTGTGTGTTTGTTTTTGAGACGGAGACTCGCTCTGCTGCCCAGGCTGGGGTGCAATGGAACGATCTCCGCTCACTATAACCTCTATCTTCCGGGTTCAAGTGATTCTTCCGAATCAGCCTTCCAAGTAGCTGGGATTACAGGTGCGCGCCACCACGCCCGGCTAAGTTTTGTATTTTTGTAAAGACGGGGTTTCACCATGTTGGCCAGGCTGGTCTTGAACTCCTGACAGGTGATCTGCCTGCCTTGGCCTCCCAAAGTGCAGGGATTACAGGCATGAGCCACTGCGCCTGGCCCACTAAAATTAAATTTAAAAAAAGAAAAAAAATTATAAATTCACATGATAGACTATTACATTGTCAAATCTTACATTTTTATTACTAATGACATATGTAAAGACATGAAAAATTCTCACAATAACTATATTAAAGTGAAAGAAAATCAAAACTTGTAAGTAATATATACTATTTATTCATTCATTAAAATATTTATCAACCACCTGATATTCATTAGGCAATGTGCTAGGTACTCAGCCCAATTTTATGTAAGAGCTTTATTGACTGGTCATTGACATACAATGAACTGTCCATGTTTAAAATGTACAGTTTGATGTTTTTGACATATGCATACACCCAGGAAAGCATCACCACAATTAAGATAATAAACATATTCATCAGCCCCAAAGTTTATTCATATCCCTTGTAATCCCTGCCACCCTTGCTGCCTACCTTTCCCCATTCCCAAGCAACCATTGATTTTCATTTGTCACTGTAGGGGACTTCATATTTCCTAGCATTTTTTTTTTTTTTTGACATAGGGTCTTGCTGTGTTGCCCAAGCTGGAGTGCAGTTTTGTGATCACGGCTCACTGCAACCTCCACCTCCTGGGTTCAAGCCATCCTTCCACCTCAGCCTCCTGAGTAGCTGGGATTACAGGCAGGTGCCACCACACCTAGTTAAATTCTTGAATTTTCTGTAGAGACAAGGTCTCATTATATTGCTTAGTCTGGTCTTGAACTCCTGAGCTCAAGCAGTCCTCCTTCCTCAGCTTTCCAAAGTGCTGGGATTATAGGCATGAGCCACCATACCTAGCCTAATATTTCCTAGAGTTTTATATGCATGGAATCGTACACTATACATTCTGATTTGTCTGGCTTTTTTTTTTTCTTTTTACTCAGCATAGTTATTTTGAGCTTCAGCCATAATATTGTGTTTATCAACAATATATGAACACTACTCAAAAATATATATTGATGAATTAGCATCTCAGGTAAAAGGAATATATTATATATATATATAATATATATAAATATATTTTATAACTCAGTGTCAATTGTGCACATATACCACAATTTATTTGTTCTGCTTCTGATGGACATTTGGGTTGTTAGAACTTTTTGGCTCATAAAAATAAAGCAGTGGGCTGGGCCTGGTGGCTGTGCTCACACCTGTAATCTCAGTACTCTGGGAGGCCAAGGCAGGAGGATCCCTTGAGCCCAGGATTCAAGACTAGCCTTAGGAACATAATGAGACCTCATCTCTATGAAAAATAAAAACAAAAATAGCCAGGTGTGGTGGCCTGCGCCTGTATCCCAGCTACTTGGGAGGCTGAGGTGGGAAGATGGCTTGAGCCTGGGAGGTCGAGGATGCCGTGAGCCATGGTCACGCCACTTCACTCTAGCCTGGGTGACAGAAAGAGACCCTGTCTCAAAAATAAATAAATAAAAATAAAGCTGTGTAAAAACAACAACAACAACAACAAAAGTTTTTTAAAAAGCTGTGATTAACATTCATGTGTTAGTTTTCATATGTACAGATACATTTCTTTATGCATGTGTTTGGAGAATTTCATTGCTCTAGGGTAAATACCTAGGAATGGATCAAATGATAGGAGTATGTTTAACTTTTTAAGAAGCTGCATGATTATTTTCCAGACATTGTTCCATTTTACATTCTCACTAGCAGCATATGAGAATTCCAGGTCCTCCATATCTTTGCTAACACATGGTTTGGTCAGTCTTTTTCATTTCAGCCATTCTAGTGGTATGTAGTGATATCTCATTGTAGTATTGATTTACACTTTCCTAGTGACTGATGATGACGAATGTATTTTTTTTTTTTTTTTTAGACAAAGTCCTGCTCTGCCGCCCAAGCTGGAGTGTAGTGCTATGATCTTGACTCACCGCAACCTCGCCTCCCAGGTTCAAACAATTCTCCTGCCTCAGCCTCCTGAGTAGCTGGGATTACAAGTGCATACCACCATGCCCGGTTAATTTTTTTATGTATTTTTAGTAGTGACAGGGTTTTGCCATGTTGAACAGGCTGGTCTCGAACTCCTGACCTCAGGTGACCCATACACCTCGGCCTCCCAAAGTGCTGGGATTGTAGGTGTGAGCCATCACGCCCAGCCCCATTTCTTTGTCTTCTGGTTTATGTTATTGCTTGTTGAGGAGTCAGCTGTTGGTCCAATTGTCCCTCCTTTTATTCTCTGGTTGCTTTTAAGATTTTCTTTTCTTTTTAAGTTCACTGTAATCTCAGCGTGGGCTTTTTAAAAATCCTGACTGCTATTGTTTGAGCTTCTTGAGACTGTGGACTGTATCATTTATCAGTGCTGAATATTTCGCTATCTTTCCAAATCTTGCTCTGACACCCAGGCTGGAGTGCAATGGCACAATCTCAGCTCACTGCAACCTTCACCTCCCAGGCTTAAGTGATCCTCCCACCTAGGCCTTCCAAAGTGTTGGGATTATAGGCGTGAGCCACTGCGCCTGGCCACTTTATTTTATTTTATTTTTTGAGACAGAGTCTCACACTGTCGCACAGGCTGGAGTGCAATCGCGTGATCTCAGCTCACTGCAACCTCTGCCTCCCGGGTTCAAGCGACTCTCATGCCTCAGGCTCCTGAGTAGCTGGGATTACAGGTGCCTGCCACCATGCCTGGCTAATTTTTTGTATTTTTAGTAGAGACAGGGTTTCACTATGTTGGCCAGGCTGGTCTTGAACTCCTGACCTTGTGATCTGCCCGCCTTGGCCTCCCAACGTGCTGGGATTACAGGCATGAGCCACAGCGCCTGGCCGCCACTTTTAAAAAATAAAATCCCTTTGGATACTTATTGGGAAAGTAACACCCAAAATATTAATGGATGTCTCTGGATCGAGAGTAATTTTAACTTTTCTACTTTATCTTTTTCTGTATTTTCTTAATTATCTACCATGAATATGTATTATTTTTATAATCATGTATTAAACATGTATTATTTATCTATTACATTATTAATATATGTAATAAACATGTATTATTTTTATAATCAGAAGAAATAATGCTTCTAAAAGCAAAAAACAATGCATAGTATAATTTTAAAAAACAATAATATATCCTCTTACCATATCTTTTTAACCTTTGTTTCCCCTGAAGAACACCTAAAAAACAAAAAATAAAACCCTTAAGAAACAATAATAAAAAGTGAGGTGTGGCCGGGTACGGTGGCTCATGCCTGTAATCCCAGCACTTTGGGAGGCCGAGGCGGGTGGATCACAACTTCAGGAGTTCGAGACCAACCTGGCCAATATGGTGACACCCCGTCTTTACTAAAAATACAAAAAAAAAAAAAAATTAGCTGGGCATGGTGGTGCATGCCTGTAATCCCAGCTACTCAGGAAGCTGAGGCAGGAGAATTGCTTGAACCCTGGAGGCGGAGGTTGCAGTGAGCTGAGATCGAGCCACTGCACTCCAGCCTTGGCAACAGAGTGAGACTCCATCTCAAAAAATAAAAAAATAAAAAAAAAGTGAGGTGTGCTGTCCGGGCACAGTGGCTGACACCTGTAATCCCAGCACTTTGGGAAGCTGAGGTGGGTGGATCACCTGAGGACAGGAGTTCGAGACCAGCCTGGCCAGCATGGCGAAACCCCATCTCTACTGATAATAGAAAAATTAGCCAGGCATGGTAGTGCGCGCCTGTAATTCCAGCTACTTAGGAGGCTGAGGCACAAGAATCACTTGAATCTGGAAGGTGGAAGTTGCAGTGAGCTGAGATCATGCCACTGTGTGTCAACCTGGGCGACAGAGCAAGACCCTGTCTAAAAAAATAAGTAAATAAAAAAGTGAAGCGTGGGGTGGGAGGCTTGGTGGTGGTTGTGGTGTTATTTTATAGAAGGCAAAAAGAGAAACTGGCAAACGTGATTGTGAATACTGGCTTCTGAGTCAAAAAGACAATTGAAAGTATTTTTTCATTTGTTTGTAGGACAGCAAGAATCACTTGACAATTGGTTTGTGACCATAATGGCATCTATAAACAGAACCATTGAAATAATGAAAAAACATGGAGTAAGCAAACAACATCTCCTGGAGGAGATAAACAAAAAGCGTGAATCCAACTGCTTGGTGGAACGAAGCAATCAAGTCAGCTTACTGAGAGTTCAAAAGAGGCACTTCCCGGATGCCTATCAGTCCTTTACTGATACCACAACCAAAGAGCCTGTTCCCAACAGTGGCAGGAGCTCCTGGATCAAGCTGAGTCTCCTTGCTCACATGGAGAGAAAGCACTTTCCACCAAAAAGTAAGAAGTTATCATAGGATTTTTTTTTTTTTTTTTGAGATGGAGTTTTGCTCTTGTCGCCCAGGCTGGAGTGCAGTGGCGCGATCTCAGCTCACTGCAACCTCCACCTCCCGGGTTCAAGCGATTCTTCTGTCTCAGCCTCCCAGGTAGCTGGGAATACAGGCACCTGCCACCACGCCTGGCTAATTTTTTTGTATTTTTTAGTAGAGACGGGATTTCACCTTGTTGGCCAGGCTGGTCTCAAACTCCTGACCTCAGGTGATCCACCCACCTCGGCCTCCTAAAGTGCTGCGATTACAGGCATGAGCCACCACACCCAGCCTATGATAGGATTCTTTTTTTGTTTTTTGAGACAGAGTTTTGCTCTTGTTGCCCAGGCTGGAGTGCAATGGCACGATCTCAGCTTACAGCAACCTCCATCTGGATTCAAGCGATTCTCCTGCCTTAGCCTCTCGAGTAGCTGGGATTACAGGCATGCACCACGAAGTCTGACTGATTTTTTTGTATTTTTAGTAGAGACCGGGTTTCTTCATGTTGGTCAGGCTGGTCTTGAACTCCCAACGTCAGGTAATCCACCCACCTTGGCCTCTCAAAGTGCTGGGATTACAGGCGTGAGCCACCGTGCCCGGCCTATGATAGGATTCTTAACCAATGTATAGGAATGATTTGTAGGTATTCCTAAAAATTAGGAAGAATTTCTGGGATTGAAAGAGGTCCCCTGAGTATTGCCCTGGTATAGCATAAAGGCAATCTGTTTGAAGGTAAAAGTGTCATTAAACTAGGCTGGTGGATTGTAAGATCTATTATAGACCAGAGACTCTCTTTTTTTATGCATACAGAATCCCAGGCCTCAGCTTCAGGCCATCTCATTCAGTAGACTCTAGGGAGGTGCCTGGAAATCTGCATTCTCAGCAGACTAAGGTGATGCTGATGCCAATGGCCTGAGAACCACATTTTGATAAGAGTTGTTATAATAGTTACAATAGACCACAAAAACTTCAGAAACCTGCTATCTCGTCAATTTCTCTGGCCTTTACAAACATTTCATGTGCAAAATTGAGGTGCAGTGGAGATCCTTTTGATGACAAATATCACACAAAAAGCCCTAATAAAATGTGGAGAGGCCGGGCGCGGTGGCTCACACCTCCAGTCCCAGCACTTTGGGTGGCCAAGGCAGGCGGATCACCTGAGGTCAGGAGTTTGAGACCAGCCTGGCCAACATGGTGAAACCCTATCTCTACTAAAAATGCAAAAATTAGCTGGGCGTGGTGGCACGCACCTTTAGTCCCAGCTACTTGGGAGGCTGAGGCAGGAGAATTGTTTGAATCCCAGAGGTGGAGGTTGCAGTGAGCCGAGATCACTCCGGTGTACTCCAGCCTGGGCGACAGAGTGAGACTCCTTCTCAAAAAAAAAAAAAAGTGGACGAAGGTTGTTGGGGGCAGGGGATGGCATGGTGGTGATGGTGGTGGTATTATTTTATAGGAGGAAGAAGGGGAGCTGATAAATACCTTCATTGTGAATACTTGTTTCTTAGTCTAGGCAGGCAGCTGAGATAGCATTTTTTCATTTATTTGAAAAAAAGAGAAGGGGGTGTGTAATCATATCTAATACAACCAACAAATTATTAATTTAGATCAGAAACAAAAGAATCACCACACTTGAGATTTCAATTCTTTGATGTGGCTGTGACTTTACACTTGCCCAGTGCTCTTAGGAAGTGGAGTAGAGTGTGATACAGTGTGGTGTAGAAAGCTGAGATTCTCCACTGTGTTTAGAGTTAATTTGTAACAGTCATGTGTTTGTTTTATTCAAAAATAACTCTAGGGCTGGGCAAGGTGGCTCATGCCTATAATCCTAGCATTTTGGGAGGCCGAGGTGGGCGGATCACCTGAGATGAAAGGAGGAAGTATTACGTCTCACTTTAAATCAAAAGCTAGAAATGATTAAGCTTAGTGAGGAAGGCATGGCAAAAGCCAAGATAGGCCAAAAGCCAGGCCTCTTGTGCCAGTCATTTATCCAAATTATCAATGCAAAGGAAAAACCCTTGAAGGAAATTTAAAATTCCCTTTAGTGAACACACAAATGATAAGAAAGCAAAACAGCCTTATTGCTGATAGGGAGAAAGTTTCAGTGATCTGGACAGATGAACCCAGCCACAACATTTCCTTAAGTCAAAGCCTAACCCAGAGCAAGGCCCCAACTCTCTTCAATTCTGTGAAAGCTGAGTCTCTCTGTCACCCAGGCTGAAGTGCAATGACGTGATCTCAGCTCACTGCAACCTCTGCCCCCAGGTTCAAGTGCTTCAGCCTCCCAAGTAGCTGGGATTGCCTGCCACCACGCCTGGCTAATTTTTTTTTTTTTTTTTTTTTGTATTTTAGTAGAGATGGGGTTTCGTCATGTTGGCCAGACTGGTTTCAAACTCCTGGCTTCAAGTGATCCACCCATCTCGGCCTCCCAAAGTGCTGGGATTATAGGCTTGAGCCACTGAGCCCGGCCAGGAGGCCATTATTCTAAGTGAAGTGACTCAGGAATGGAAAACCAAATATTGTCTGTTCTCACTTATAAGTGGGAGCTAAGCTATGAGGATGCAAAGGCATAGGAATTATATAATGGACTTTAGGAACCCCAAGGGAAAGAAAGGTAAAAGAGGGGCAAGGAATAAAAGACTATATGCTCGGTTGATGGGTGCACCAAAATCTCAGAAATCACCGCTGAAGAACTTACCCATGTAACCAAAACCTACCTTTACCCCAAAAACTACTGAAATTAAAAATAAACAAAAGAAACCACCCTATCTAAGCAGCACTCCTCAACACTCTATAATCCCTTACCCAGCTTTCTTTTTTACCACAGTGTTTATCACTCCCTAATGAAGGCTAGGCTCCTTGAAGGCAGGGATGGTATCTGCTTTTTTCACCACTTTATCTTCAGTCCCTAGAACAGTGTCTGGCACAAATTAGGAACTCAGGAAACGTTTCCTGGCTGATTGAATAAATGTTGGGACATGGAATATACTTTCCCAGAAGTAGTGGTAGAACTTACCTCATTCCTCTCGAGACCAATAGCTATGTCCTTGGGCAATGGCTCACAAACCTAAGAGTTTCTCACAGCAACCTTAGTTGGTTGCTGTGGAATAATCTTTAGAAATGCAGGAGGGTAATAATACAGTAATTTTGCTGGACATATTCAATACGAATTGGAAGGCACTGTACTCCTTTCCTTTGCATACCTGTGCAAGAGGAAGAAACACTCATTTACTCTTTATTCATTCAACGAATATATATCAGTGCTTACTTGATGTCAGGCACTCTTCTACGTGCTTGTCAATACAGTGATGAATAAAATCTTGCCTCAAAAAGCTTAGGTTTTGGTGTGCTGGCTCATGCCTGTAATCCTAGCACTTTGGTAGGCTGAGGCAGGAGGATCCCTTGAGCCCAGGAGTTTGAGAGTAGCCTGGGCAACATAGAGAGACCTCTTCTCTATTTCTAAAAAAAAAAAAAAAAAAAAAAAAAAGCTTAGATTTCACTGGGTAGAGAGCCAGATAAACAAGTTAAAAAATAGTACATTTCAGCCGGGCACAGTGGCTCACGCCTGTAATCCCAGCATTTTGGGAGGCCGAGGCGAGTGGATCACCTGAGGTCAGGAGTTCGAGACCAGCCTGACCAACATGGTGAAACCCCACAAAAATTAGCTGGGCATGGTGGTGCATGCCTGTAATCCTAGCTACTCTGGAGGCTGAGGCAGAAGAATCACTGGAATCCGGGAGGAGGAGGTTGCAGTGAGCAGAGATCGCGCCACTGCACTACAGCCTGGGCAACAAGAGCGAAACTCCGTCTCAAAAAAAAAAAAAAAAAAAAGGAAGTAAATGTCCGATCAGATAGTGATAAATGGGTAAGAGCTATGGGGAAACAGAAAACAGCAGGGTGGGGGATAGGAAGTGTTGGATGGAGGGTGTATTGCTGCCCATATAACTATATGGGGATTACTATCCAGGGCATGAGGGATGACCCAGGACTCCTGGGTTCCTTGAGGAGTCCAGTGTAAACAGGGATAAGGGACAGAATGAGATTAGTCCTGATGGTCGAACCTAGCGGTGGTCTAACCTGGTGGGGAGGCCTGTGTGTTGAGGGGAAGTAATGTTACAGATTTTGCATAGAGTATTTGGAGTTCTGGGTGATCCTCTTTGCTTCTATTAATAGTGACGTGAAGACTAGGAAAGAAGTTCTCTTAGTCCGAGATTTCCAGGCCCTCTTTTCAATCTTCCACTTGGAGATGTGGAGCCCAAAAGGGGGGCAGTTTATTTAAATATATAGAATTAAAAACACCTGGGTTCAAGTTTTGCCTCTGTCATTGACTAGTATCATGCTTTTAGTAATTTGAGGTTTTTTTTTTTTTTTTTAGAGGCAGAGTCTTGCTCTGTCACTGGGGCTGGAGCGCAGTGGTGTGATCATAGCTCACTGTATCCTCAACCTCCTGGGCTCGAGCGATCCTCCTACCTCTCAGCCTCCCGAGTAGCTGGGACTATAGGCATGTGCCACCATGCTTGGCTAACTTTTGTATTTTTTTAATAGAGTCTGGATTTTGCCATGTTGCCCAGGTTGGTCTCAAATTCTTGACCTCAAGCAATCTGCCTGCCTCAGCCTCCCAAAGCGCTGGGATTACAGGCGTGAGCCACCGTGCCCAACCATTTGGTGTTTCTTTCTTTCTTTTTTTTTTTTTAATTTATTGAGACGGAGTCTCACTCTGTCACTTTGTCACAGGCTGTAGTGCAGTGGCTCGATCTTGGCTCACTGCAACCTCTGCTGCCCGGGGTTCAAGCGATTCTCCTGCCTCAGCCTCCAGAGTAGCTGGGATTACAGGTGTGCACCACCACACCCAGCTAATTTTTTTTGAGATTTTTTCTTGCTCTGTCACCAGGCTGGAATGCAGTGTTGCGATCTCGGCTCACTGCAACCTCCACCTCCCGGGTTCAACTGATTTCTCCTGCCTCAGCCTCCTGAGTAGCTAGGACTACAGGCGCATCCCACCACACCCAGCTAATTTTTGTCTTTTTAGTAGAGATGGGGGTTTCAACATGTTGGCCAGGATGGTCTCCATCTCTTGACCTCGTGATCCGCCCACCTCAGTCTCTCAAAGTGCTGGGATTACAGGCGTGAGCCACAGCGCCTGGCCGCCATTTGGTGTTTCTTTTTTTTTTTTTGGAGTCGGAGTCTTGCTCTTTCGCCCAGGCTGGAGTGCAGTGGTGTGATCTCGGCTCACTGCACGTTCCGCCTCCTGGGTTCAACCGATTCTCTTGTCTCAGCCTCCTGAGTAGCTGGGACTACAGGAGCGCGCCACGACGCCCGGCTAATTTTTGTATTTTTTTAGTAGAGATGGGGTTTCACCATCTTGGCCAGGATGGTCTCGATCTCCTGACCTCGTGATCCGCCCACCTCGGCTTCCCAAAGTGCTGGGATTACAGGTGTGAGCCACCGCACCCGGCCCATTTGGTGTTTCTAAACCTTAGTTCCTGTATCTGAAAAACAATACTCTGCCCTCCAGGGTTATTTTAAAAACCATGAAATGTGTTATAAGTTATATAACAAATACTTTTTATTTTTTATTTTTTCAGATAATGCCATATTTGGATAAAGTGCATCTCCAGAGACACACGGAAATACATTCTCTTTGATTCTTCTTCAGTGTGTCTAAATTATTTACAAATTATTAATTATAAACAAAGCTAAACAAAAGTATTCACTAGATCCCTCAAAAAACATTAAGTCACATAAAACATATCTTTATTCATTCCATTCTATCATTTAAACTTAGATGATTTGAAGAGAGGATTTGAGTTTTTTAGTTACTTTCAAACATGAATACCTAAGAGTTTAGTTTACAGTGATCCCTTTTTTTTTTTTTTTTTTTTGAGACAGAATCTTGCTCTGTTCCCCGGGCTGGAATGCAGTGGCATGATCTCAGCTCACTGCAATCTCCACCTCCTGGGTTTAAGCTATTCTCCTGTCTCAGCCTCCTGAGAAGCTGGGACTACAGGCGCACGCCACCACACCCAGCTAATTTTTGTATTTTTAGTAGAGATGACATTTCACCATGTTGGTCAGGCTGGTCTTGAACTCCTGACCTCAGGTGATCCACTCGCCTTGGCATCCCAGAGTGCTGGGATTACAGGTGTGAGCCACCATGCCCAGGCAATCTTCTCCTTAGTAATCTAAAATGTTTAAATAATAGTTTATATTTGTTTCTATAACTCAATGGAATATATTGACCAACCCCACTGATCAGGTTGAAGGCTAAAAAGTTAACACTTGCTTATAAATGATAGATTAACTTCCTCTGTTAAAGTTATGGTTTTGATTATTTGAATAAGGAGATATTTGAGAGGCTAATATAAGGTGCCTGTAGACAGGGCTTTCTGTTACATTACGTTGTCCATCCCCACAGTGGTGATGGTTAGAATTATCTCATGGCCACATCCTATTTGGCTACTATCACCTCCGTTTCATTGCTTCTTGGATCACAGTCTCTTCAAATCACTTTTTTTTTTTTAGACGGAGTCTTGGTCTGTTGCCCAGGCTGGGGTGCAGCAGTGTGATTTGGCTCACTGCAACATCTGCTTTCCAGGTTCAAGCAATTCTCATCTCAGCCTCCTGAGTAGCTGGGACTACAGGTGTGTGCCACTATGCCAGGTTAATTTTTGTATTTTTAGTAGAGACAGGGTTTCACCATGTTGCCCAGGCTGGTCTCGAACTCCTGACCTCAGGTGATCTGCCCGCCTCAGCCCCACAAAGTGCTGGGATTACAGGCATGAGCCTCTTCAGATCTTAACTTGGCTTATGTTCCTTTGTGTGGTTAAGAACCTAGTCCATATGCCAAGCAGAGCACTGCCTGGCCTGGAACCCAGAGCTTCTTGGCATTTGTATTTATTTCAATAAGACATTCACTTTTTATTTGGTTGCCCTCTACTTCCACAGGAAGCTCAGATTCATAGAGAGCCAAAGCATTCTGATATTAGAAGGGATATGGATAAGCCAGCTGGCTTAAAACCCTATGTCAGTCAGGACTATATAGTAGGGCACAGTGTGGATAAGACTCATCAACCATGAGAAAATGTTAAAAATAATAAAAACAAACGACACAGAACTACAGCTAATTTTTCACTTCCCAAAAGGCAAATACCTAGCCAGGCAGTGGTGGCAGATACCTATAGTCCCAGCTACTCAGGAGGCTGGAGTGAGAGATCACTTGAGTCCAGGAGTTCAAGGCTGTAGTGTGCCAGGATCATGGCTGTGAATAGCCACTGCCCTCCACCCTGTGCAACATGGTGAAAGTCTGCCTTTTTTTTTTTTGACACAGGGTCTCATTCTGTCACCCAGGCTTGAGTGCAGTGGCATGATCATGGCTCACTGCAGCTGGACTTCCCGGTCTCAGATGATTCTCCCACCTCAGCCTCCTGAGTAGCTGGGATGACAAGTGTATGCCTGGCTAATTTTTGTATTTTTAGTAGAGATGGGGTTTCGCCATGTTGCTGGTCGTGAACTCCTGGCCTCAAGCAATCCGCCCTCCTCAGCCTCCCAAAGTGCTGGGATTACAGGCATGAGCCACTTCATCCGGCCTGTTTTTGTTTGTTTGTTTTAAAGCAAATACCTAGTGTTAATAACTAAAGGATTATCCTGGCACAGCTGTCATGGGCACCTGCAGAAGACATGAGGCTCCTGGTTCAGAGGCAAAGGATTTTACTACTTAGAGCACAGCAAGGAACACAAGCCTCTTGTTGGGGTCAGTTCCCCTTGCCCTCCCCCACTCCCTCAAGATCCATGGGGCGATGTGAAGATGTCCAGGTAGATGCCACACACGCAGAGGTTTTGCCTCATAGCTGAGGAATCCTGAGCTTAAAGAAACCCAACCTTTGCCCAGAAAGAGACATTATCTTCATTATAGTGGATGGTAAACAGAGCTGCCCTCTGCTCCAGAGGGAGTCACGATCTTCCAAAGAGATTACCTGAAACAAAGGTCGTCAGTGCTTCTGCTCCCTAGATGTGCAGAAACATGGGAGTCCTGTAGATAATTATCTCCCCACATTCAGAAGCTCAAATAAAGACTATCAAATACAGTATTATTTCTTTGGCTCTAGCTAGGATGAATAATAGGAAATAAACACATAGGTTTTGGTAAAGGCGTGTCAGGGTATGGACGGTACATTTCTTTTTCTTCTTTTTCTTTTTGAGACAGGGTCTCACTCTGTTGCCCAGGCTGGAGTGCTGTGGGGTGATCACCTCTCAATGCAGCCTCAACCTCTCCTGCTCAAGCAATTGCCCCACCTCAGCCTCCTAAGTAGCTGGGAAGACAGGTGTGCACCACCGTGCCCAGCTAATTTTTTTACTTTGGCTATGTTGACCAGTCTGGTTTCAAACTCCTGGCTTCAAGCAATCCTCCCACCTCAGCTTCCCAAAGTGCTGGGATTACATATGTGAGCCACCACACCCAGCTGGACAGTACAATTAACACATTCTCTAACCTCAGCTCTCTCCTAACCCTATCCACCCTCCCAGCTGTGTGCCTCTGGTTTTATAGACCTACTTGTGACTCTCTGAACTTGCCTTATTCCGTTACCTCCTCTCTACCTAACTTCAATTTGTGCAAGATTTAATTTGATAACACCTCCTTCTGGAAACCTTCCCTCACCCCTGATCCCACTGTTAAATTTATAGTGAACCCCAATTTTCTCTTCAAAGAATCAGTATGTTAGCATGTTTTGTTTGTTTGTTTGTTTGTTTGTTTGTTTTGAGACGGGGTCTCGCTCTGTTGCCCAGGCTAGAGCGTAGTGGCGTGATCTCGGCTCACTGCCAGCTCTGCCTCCTGGGTTCACGCCATTCTTCTGCCTCAGCCTCCCAAGTAGCTGGGACTACAGGCACCTGCCACAACGCCTGGCTAATCTTTTTTGTGTGTGTGTGTGTATTTTTGTATTTTTAGTAGAGATGGGGTTTCACCGTGTTAGCTAGGATGGTCTCAATCTCCTGACCTCATGATCCACCCACCTCAGCCTCCCTAAGTGCCAGGATTACAGGCGTGAGCCACCGCACCCAGCCTGTTTTTTTTTTTTTTTTTTTTTTTTTGAGATGGAGTCTAGCTTTGTCACCCAGGTTGGAGTACAGTGGCGTGACCTTGGCTCACTACAACCTCCTTCTCCTGGGTTCATGCAATTCTCCTGCCTCAGCCTCCTGAGTAGTTGGGATTACAGGCATGCACCAATACACCTGGCTAATTTTTGTATTTTTAGTAGAGACAGGGTTTCACCATATTGGTCAGGCTGGTTTTAAACTCCTGATCTCATGTGATCCACCTACCTCAGTCTCCCAAAGTGCTGGGATTACAGGCGTGAGCCACCACGCCTGGCTGAGTATATTAGTATGTTCAGCTCTCTTATTCTTTGATTCTCCATTTTAAAGCTTAACTTCCTGGTTCTCTTCACCCCCTTGCCTCTGGTTTCAGTAAACAACTCTCCCACCAGTCCTAGTTAGTAATTCACATCTGTTCCCCTGGTCACCTGCTTCATCCTGACTCATTCCGGTCACCTGCTCTGACCTGAGTCATGCCTGGTCACCCAGTCTGACCTAAGTCACCTTAGTTACCTGTTCCTAACCATCTTTCCCACCAAACTACTCACGCTGCCACTCCGGCTCGTACTCCTGCTCTTTTTAAAACAGCCAATCGGAATTAGCTTAGACTGTGCTGTCCAACCTAAGCCAATAGGGGAACGACACAGCAGTAGGAGCTACCTGCATCAGGAATAACTCCTTCCCTTCCCCTGTCCAGGTATGCTCTCACCATTGTTCCATCTGTGAAGGGCACACTTTCTGCAGAAAGTAAAAATTGCCTTGCTGAGAAAATTAAATTTATGTTGGAGTGCTATTTCTTTGCTGCACTGGGGAACAAGCATTTTGCATTTCTAACACCACCTTAGGCATTTTCTACTTTATCCTCCTCTATACACCCTACAACAGTCTCAGGCTAAAACCAGAAACTCAAAAGTCACAAGACAATATATCCATTGGGACTCTGACCTTACCTGAAATGGCAGAAAGTCCACATGCTCTCTACCCCCTCCCAGGAGTGTTTCATATCTGTCAATGCATGGGTTTCCTCAGTAGCACTAAATCACAGACACTTTCCTCCTTTTCTGCCCTGGCTCCCTGCAAAGCCCAAAGGCAGTCTGCTGGCGGAATTCCTTCTTGCTTGGGAAGGTCAGTCTTTTTCTATTTCTAAGGCCTTCGACTGATTGGAGGAAGCCAATCCACTTTACAGAGGGTAACATGCTTCACTCACAGTCCACTGATTTAAACGTTAATCTAATTTACAATATACCTTCACAGAAACATCTAGAATAATGTTTAACCAACTAGCTGAGTAATGTAGCCTCACCAAGTTGACACATCAAATTAACCATCACAGAAGCTGTCCCCCAAAATAACCCTTTACCTTATACTGGGGGATTCTCTGGCATCTGAAAGACCCAGGCCAATGCTCGTGATTCCCAATTCCCCACTCTCTGAATTCCACTGGGGTGGATGGACTCTGGCCTTGCCCGTGCCCTTGAGAACCAGAGAGGAGTAGAGGGGGCCCCACATGAAACTCATTATCCTCAGCTCTACCAGGTGGCTCAGGAAATCCACAGGGCAGCCTTGGTAGGCTTCTGGGAAATTTAGTAAAGAGCAAGGCTGACTGGCACTCTGGAGGAATTGTAAGAAATTTGCTATTTGTGGCTGGGTGTGGTGGCTCATGCCTGTAATTCCAGCACTTTGGAAGGCCGAGGCTGGAGGATTGCTTGAGGCCAGGAGTTCAAGACAAGCTTGGGCAACACGGCGAGACCCTGTCCCTAAACATAAATTAATAACATTTAAATAAAAACAAATTTTGTGTCTGGCTACAATGGCTCATGCCTGTAATCCCAGCACTTTGGGAGGCTGAGGTGAGATGATTGCTTGAGCTCAGGAGTTCAAGACCAGCGTGGGTAACATGGCGAAACCCTGTCTCTTCCAAAAATACAAAAATTAGCCAGGCATGGTGGCTTGTGCCTGTGGTCCCAGCTACTTGGGAGGCTGAGGTGGGAGGATGGCTTGGGCCAGGGAGGCAGAGGTTGCAGTGAGCCAAGATGGCGCCACTGCATTCCAGCCTGGATCGTCGCTCTGTCAAGTGAGACCCCATCTCAAAAAAAAAAAAAAAAAAAAAAAAAAAAAAAAAAACCCACACAGAAAAAGAAAACCAAATTGCTATTTTATTAACAGTTTTTGATCTTTCTTTCTCTTTCTCTTTCTTCTCTTCTCTTCTCTTCTCTTCTCTTCTCTCTCTTTTTCGTGGGGCTGCCCCAAAGGGCCTCACGAGCACCTGTGGACAACAGCCAGATGGCCTGATTCACACGGCACAAGGGGGACACTTCCACAGCCTGTGGTCTCACGGCCCAGGCTCGGCTCGCCCAATACGTATGGAGTCCTCCCGGGGACCACTGTTGATGATGGCGTTCACCAGGACCTGCAGAGAGTCCTCTCCTGTGAGCAGGTGAATGGTCTCGAAGGCATGCTTGGTGATGCGCAAGGTCACGAGTTTCTTGCAGTTGTTGCGGCATCATGGAGTGAGTGCGGCACTCCACAATGGGGTGCTGAGCTTTGCGGAAGCGTTTGGCGGCATACTACCCTGCACTGTGAGGCAGGTGCTTGGCATACTTCTTCACTGCAATGTAATCCTGCAGGGAAATGTTATTGATCTGCATGCACATCATGGGTGCTCCACTTCCCAAAGAGCTTGATGTCTGGGCTCTCTGTCCCCGCAGGTGCTATTGTCTCCCATTTGGTCCCTGAGGGCACAGCCTGAGCATCTCTATTGTTTGGCGTGGACCGCGTGCCGCCCTGGCACAGACAGGAAACTAGATATTTCAATGATCGTTTTTAGGCTTCTTAAATTACATCAATAATAAATGTTTCCATTTGGGTCCCAGATAAGAAAGTGAGAGGAAGCAGATTCAAATGACATTTGCATGTAGAGTCCTTCTATAGGAAGCTACTGATTTCAGAAGGCCCCTGTTAAAATGGGCTTCCCTGATAATATGTGTTAGTCAGTCCAGTAAATTTCTGTTTGGTGACAGTATTGCATTGGCAAGCTTTGTTGTGGTGGTAGAGGTAGCTGTGTGACACACCTCAAACCCAGAGAGGAACCTTGGGAAATGGGGTTATTGGAGATCTCTTGTGACCTTTGGGGATTGGGGAGAAGTTCCCCTAGGACTTGTTTTGTGTGGGGTTTTGTGCTACAATTTCACAGACTCGATTCTTTGTTTGATTCCAACGGGTGTATTCTTTCTGGTCAAATTAATTCCTGACTCCTGACTTTTCTTCTGAGTTTCCAACAAAAGGATTTTTTTTTTAACAGAGTCTTGCTCAGTCACCCAGTCTGGGGTTCAGTGGCTCGATCTCATCTTACTTCAACCCCCACCTCCCGGGTTCAAGTGATTCTCGTGCCTCAGCCTCCGGAGTAGCTGGGACTACAGGCGCACCCACCATGCCTGGCTACTTTTTGTATTTTTAGTAGAGATGGGTTTCACCATTTGGCCAGGCTGGTCTGGAACTCTATCTCAAGTGATCCTCCCGCCTTAGCCTCCCAAACTGCTGGGATTACAGGCATGACCACAACTCCCGGCCTCAACAAGAGGGCTTTTTATAATGACAGGAGTATTACATAAACAGTGAATTGTGGCTATTGATGAATTGCAAGGCATAACTACCCCTAAGGGTTTAATGGCTCAAGACCATCTCTGGGGTTGAGGTTAAGCAATTCCTGGAAAATTCAAAGTTCTTATTCCCTATCCTGACATTTTAAAATCAGGAAAGAAGCCTCAAAATACATGAAAGATGGGAGGGAAAGAGAGGAAGGTAAGTTTTGGTCTTGGGAATGGTGGAGTTTTGTGGACTGATTGCCTTCCCTATCAGTCAGAGTTTAGTTTCAAGAAACAGAAACCAACCTTGACTAATTTAAGCATACAAATTTATTAATATATTAGGTAGCTCACATAATCTCCAAGAGGGCCAAAAACCAGGTTTGTAGGTTATAGAGCTAGAAACAGTGCCCCAAATCAGGTCACAAGGCTGGTCCATGAAGACTCACTGCCTTGGGACACTAGATACAGCTACTAGGATCAGTGCCACCACTGCCTCTGAAAATGGGTGCAGCTGCTACTTCCCACACCAGCACAAAGTCCCATGCAGTTGGTTTCTTTATATTCCTGGCTTCTGACTCAAAATCTGGGCTGTGTACCTCTGATTGGTGGAACTTAAGTCATGTATTTGCCATAATAGTGAGGAACACTGGGAAAGTAAATATTTGGCATTTTCAGTCTCTAGGGTGGAAGATGGGTCCTGCCTCATAAAATGAGGGCTTTCTCACTTTATTATATGAAAAGTAGGCCCAAAATATTAAACAGTGTTCATTGCAGTGTATCCCTTGGTTGCCTCCAAGTCAATACATATCCTTCTTGCCATAAGAATTTAAAATGCTTTCACAAGTATGATCAGCATCTTCCATATCCTTCCAGTGTCTCATCCTTTAAATTAATTGGAATTTTGCTGCCTGGAGACCTATGCAGGCTATATAACCAATCCCAGATTTCCCTCTCTTCCTTCTTTCCTATTTTCCTTCATTTTCCTAAGGGTCTCTTGATGACAACTACTTCAGGGTATTGATTTTCTCATTAAACAGGGTTCTTAAAAATGCAAACATCATGACTGGGCGTGGTGACTCACACCTGTAATCCCAGCACTTTGGGAGGCCGAGGCGGGTGGATCACCTGAGGCCAGGTGTTCGAGACCAGCCTGACCAACCAGACGGAGAAACCCCGTCTCTACTAAAAACACAACGATTAGCTGGGCATGGTGGTGGGCACCTGTAATCCCAACTACTCAGGAGGCTGAGGCAGGAGAATTGCTCGAACCCAGGAGGCGGAGGTCGCAGTGAGCCAAGATCGCACCAGTGCACTCCAGCCTGGGTGACAGAGAAAGACTCTGTCTCAAGAAAAAAAAAAAAGGCAAGCATCAGAAACAAAATTTGGCTAATTTATTATTATTATTTATTTATTTATTTTTTTAACAGAATCTTGCTCTGTCACCCAGGCTGGAGTGCAGTGACACGATCATGGCTCACTGTAGCCTCGACCTCCTGGGCCCAAGCGATCCTTCTACCTCAGCCTCTCAAGTAGCTGGGAACACAGGCATGTACCACCAGGCCTGGTGAGTTTTTAAATGTTTTGTAGAGACCGAGTCTCCCTATGTTGCTCAGGCTGGTCTTGAACTCCTAGGTTCAAGTGATCCTCCCGCCTTGGCCCCCCAAAGTGCTGGGATTATAGGCACAAGCCACTGTGCCCAGCCAAATTTGGCTAATTTAAGCAGAAAAGGAATTTACTGAAGGATATTGAATAGTTCATAAAATTTCCAGGAGGGATGACAAAACAAACTCAAGCCAGTGTACAAGAACCATAGAGACTCCACTGCCACAGACACTGGGCATAGACTGTGTGGCTAACACACTGCCACCTTCTGCAAGCTAGCCTCAGAATATTGCCATTAAAATCCCTGCCACACTACCCACACTTGTAAGCATGGAGTAAGCTCAGTACTGGCTTTTTAAAATCAGTGTCCTGGTTGCAAGAGGGGCTGGAAAGTGATTACTTGGCAGTTTTAACTTCTATAGTGGGAAGCAGGTTTGCTTAATAAGGTGAGGCATTCCCCACACAAAGGGAACTCACATATGGGATGACCAAAAACAAAACAAAACAAAACAAAAACAACAAACCTGTCTAACGTCCATCCATGTGAACCGCAAGATCCCTTCTCCCTCCCTAATACTTCCCTCAGTTATTGCCTGTACACTCAGAGGCCAGCCCCCCAATTCAGAGTTCCTGATTTGCAATACTCTAAGGATGGCCTGTGAAGGATGTCACTTAAGCTCATGTAGATGGCAGACTGGGAGGCATTTGATATTTGGAAAACAGTGCTGGGATGGAAGTCAGGGTATTATAGTTCTAAATGTATCACACATTAGCTGTGAGAATTTATACAATTTAGTTAAATTACTTGAGCCTCAGAAGTAATCCACAGAAAAGTCTTGTACACACATTAGGCTCTTAACACTTTCTGTTCTTACATGCTAGGCAAGGTTCTCAACATGTACAACTTTTTTTTGAGACTGAATCTCGCCTTGTTGCCCAGGCTGGAGTGCAGTGGCACAATCTCAGCTCACTGCAACCTCCACCTCCTGGGTTGAAGTGATTCTCCTCCTTCAGCCTCTTGAGTAGCTGGGACCACAGGTGCATGCCACAAAGACCAGCTAATTTTTGTGTTTTTAGTAGAGGCAGGGTTTCGCCATGTTGGCCAGGCTGCTCTTGAACTCCTGACCTCAAGAGATCCACCTGCCTCAGCCTCCCAAAGTGCTGGGATTACAGGCGTGAGCCACTGTGCCTAGCCTCAATATGTATAACTTAAACTACTAAACTGAGAAATGAGAAGTTATTTGCACCATTTTTAATACCTAAGGCATAAATACTACAGATTTTCATGAATTACAGGAATGCTCACTAAAGAAGTCATCTTTTTTGGAGATATGTGTGTTTCAGAATTAGCCAAAGAGGAAGGGTTTCAGGAGGTCCTATTAGGATATTTTTGCTTAGAGTCCTATGTTTAAACTTGTAGCACTGGTAATCTTTGAATTATCTCATCTCTTTCCATTTTATCTTTTTTACTGACTCTGTAATCATCAGTACTGACGTTGTCATAATTTATAAAGGACAGTGAGATTTGCCTATGCTTGAAAAGCTAAGCTCTAACAAGCATAGAACAGTCTCTGGAAACCCTTTCTAAGTTACTCAGATCCTATAAATGAAATGAAAATTTACATATGCTGCTTTGAAGTATTCTGTCAAAAGCACAAAAGGGCAAGAAAGGGCAAAGGCAAGAAATTAAACTCTGAAGTATGAGTGAAGCTTGACCATGCAAAAACGGGATTCCCCTTCATGTTTAGTTTAGAAGGCGGGCTTGGAGAGGGGAAGGAAATGTGCAACAGCAAAGTACGGAGGGGATTACGACAGGAAAATAGTGAACCAGAGATAAAGAGCAAGCAGCAAGGTGATTAAATGAACTCTTAGTTACAAAATAATGAAAGAAAAGAGCCGATAACAATTCTTTAAAGAATAAGACAATTTCATCTGATTCTTACTCAAATAAAGACAAGAGCTAGAATAAGAGGGCAACCCATCTTTCTGGGACCCCTCTCTCATCCAGACAGCTTTCTTCCTTTTGCTTATTAAACTTCTGCTCTAACCTAAAAAAAAAAAATTAAAAGAAAAAAAAGAAAGAAAGAAAGAAAAGAAAAAAAAGGAGCTAGAATACAAACCATTTCCTTTAGTAAGGAAGGTCACCATATGCTGCGGCAGTGTGGCGAGGGAGGTGGCAGATCTCTTTTTGCCTTTCAGTTGAGGGGAGAGGGTGTTCCTATAGAATGCAGAAAGACTTGTTCCAGGCCAAAAGAGTTTATTCCTATTTTTCAGAATGGTTCAACATTAGGAAATCTCTGGATGGTATTTAGTAGATTTATAAGTTAAAGGAGAAAAATATGTTTCTCAAAAAACTGTGGAAAGGAGGCTGGGCTCGGTGGCTCACACTTGTAATCCCAGCACTTTGGGAGGCTGAGGCAGGTGGATCACCTGAGATCAGGAGTTCAAGACCTGCCTGGTCAACATGGCGAAACCCTATCTCCACTAAAAATACAAAAAATAAGCCGGGCGTGGTGGCGGGTGCCTGTCATCCCAGCTACTCAGGAGGCTGGGGCAAGAGAATCACTTGAACCCAGGAGGTAGAGGTTGCAGTGAGCCGAGATCGTGCCACTGCACTCCAGCCTGGGCTACAGAGTGGGACTCATTTAAAAAAAAAAATGTGGAAAGGTATGTGATATCCAATAGCCATTGCAGATTGAAAGATAAATATTTTTCTCTATTGCAGTCAGTTTAAGACTTACTGCCTCCATTCACTAATTTAAAAATATTTGAGGCTGAGCATGGTGGCTCACACCTGTAATCCCAGCACTTTGGGAGGCCGAGGAGGGCGGATCACGAGGTCAGGAGTTCGAGACCAGCCTGGACAACATGGTGAAACCCCGTCTCTACTAAAAATACAAAAAAATTAGCTGGTTGTGGTGGCGGGCACCTGTAATAGCAGCCACTTGGGAGGCTGAGGCAGGAGAATCGCTTGAACTCGGGAAGCGGAGGTTGCAGTGAGCCGAGATTGCACCACTGCCCTCCAGCCTGGGTGACAGCGTGAGACTCTGTCTCAAAAAAAAAAAAAAAAAAATTGAGAGCATATCATATTGCAGGCCTTGTTTCAGACTATGTAGAAGATGCAAAAACAAACTAAAATTGGTTTGTTCTCAAAAGGCTTGCAATTTCTAAAGATGGAAAACACATACACAGGTAGCTATAGTCAAAAGGAATATGTGAAAGTGTCAACGAACTGGTTTATAGTACTTTGTTCTACATTGCTATAGTGTTGCTGGAAAAGAGACTCCAAGAGCCAGTCCTTGGGTCTAGCACAGGGAAGAACTGGAGAGGAGTCACAGAGCACAGTGAAGGAAGAAAGTTTATTAGAACTACTCTGTTAGAGAGTAGTAAGTCCTCAGAAAGCAGGAGGAACACACTGTCCTTGGGTAGTGTCTCTACTTAGAAGAAACTGTAAGGAGCTATGATTAAACTTGGAATGTGCATATATGCTCACTAAAGGTCAAGGCTATTGGTGCTATAATGACCATTAATCCTTCAAACTAAGCCTACTCATTAATGTTATCTTTGAGTGAAGTGGGCTGCACTCAGGACATCTGGACATTCTGCAGGCTTAGTGGGAGATGTTCTGCATGACCATAATTTTTTTTTTTTTTTTTTTTTTTGAGACAGAGTCTCACTGTTGCTCAGGCTGGAATGCAGTGGCACCATCTTGGCTCACTGCAACTACCACCTCCCAGGTTCAAGCGATTTTCATGCCTCAGCCTCCTGAGTAGCTGGGATTACAGGCATGCGCCACCACACCCAGCTTTTTAAACTATTAATATTTTAGTAGAGACAGGGTTTTGCCATGTGAGCCAGGCTGGTCTCAAGCTCCTGGCCTCAAGCGATCCACATGCCTCAGCCTCACAAAGGGCTAGGATTACAGGTGTGAATATTTTGTAATTATAATACTTGTGGCTATTTTCAGACCTTAAGTATTAATATTATAACTGCCTTGTGAGAGCCTAGCTACTCACTTTAAGATGGGGTCACTCTAGTCATGTTTTCTTTTTTGTAGGGGGGTGGGGAGAGAGTCTTGCTCTGTCGCCCAGGCTGGAGTGTAGTGGTGCGATCTCGGCTCACTGCCACTTCAGCCTCCTGAGTTCAAGTGATTCTTGTGCCTCAGCCTCCTGAGCAGCTAGGATCACAGGTGTGTTCCACCACGCCTGAATGATTTTTTTGTATTTTAGTAGAGATGTGGATTTGCCATGTTGTCCAGGCTGGTCTTCAACTCCTGACCTCAAGTAATCCGCCTGTCTCAGCCTCCCAAAGTGCTGGGATTACAGGCGTCAGCTATTGTGCCCAGCCTCTAGTCATGTTTTATTAAACCAGAGGCCTGGTAAGCAGGGGTTCCTCTAACAATAGCACTTCTCACATTGCTATGAAATTATTTGTCCACTTGGCTATCTCCTTGATTAAATTGTGAACTGAGGGCAAAGATCATATCTTATTCATCTTTGTAACCTAGGAACCTAGACTAGTGGGCAGCCTATAGGAGGAGGGGCTTAATAACTGAAACAAACAAATGGATGAATACATGAAGAAAATGGCTAAACAATTTAGAGGGCAAAGATCATGTCTGGCTGGGTGATGAGGCAAGATGAAGTAATTTAACTTGAACCTTAAACGATTTAATGGTAAGAGTCTGACAAAGGGTATGTGTACAGAAGGTAGGAAATAGGGAAAAGAAATACAGAGTTGGAAGAGAGCTTAAAAGTCCAGTTTTAATATAATCTCCTGTTAAATGTAGGAATTTCATTTAAAATGGTGCTGATGAGTCATTAAATACCTCATAAAATACCCTATTCAGTTTCTTAGTCTGGTTTGGACAATCTGACCTAGTTTTGATTCTTCCATAAATGAATTCATTTCAAAATATTTATTGAAGATCATTTCATAAAATCACTTTGATTTAGGAAGTTTATTTTTTTCTATGACAGGTACTTTTTCCAGCATTTTCTGCTTATATAATTTAACAAGATTAAATACCTAAGTTTTGATATTGACCACACCTGTTAAACTACATATACGATTTTTAAAAAATTGTAGTAAATACACATAACATAAAATTTATCCTAATTCGTTATAAGTGTACAGTTCAGTGGCATTAAATACCTTCACATTGATGTGCTACCATCACTACCATCTATCTACAGAACTGTTTTTACACTTGAGATTTTTAATTTTTTTGAGATTTTTATTTATTTACATTTTTAGAGATAGGTGCTCACATCTATGTTGCCCAGGCCTGACTCAAACTCAGGCTTAAAAGGTCTCCCATCTCAGCCTCCTGAGTGGTTGGCACTACAGGTGAATGCCACTGTGCCTGGCTTACACTAACATTTTTAAACTTAAAAATATGAAATATTACTGTTCACAGAGAAATCAGATACATTTTTAATAATGCCATTTACATTCTAAATATGTTGACAAAATTCAGACCAGAACTTACAATTGGTGTATTAACTAAACTTTTGGGCTTGGTATTCAATAATGATTGTTTAAACCACTGGCCTCATAAGTCAAAAATCTAAGATCAGTGTAAAAATCGTATGCATTTTTATCTTAAAGAGAAATAATTCGAAGTACTAAAAGTTCAATTTTACAAACCTAGAAAAGAGATTTCTGACAGCATAGAAAACCAGACATTCTCCCTTCACTGGCTAACTCCTATGGGAAGAAAAATAGGTGGTAAGAACACACTTTAGGCTGGCGCAGTGGCTCATGCCTGTAATCCCAGCACTTTGGGAGGCCGAGGCGGGCGGATCACCTGAGGTCGGGAGTTCGAGACCAGCCTGACCAACATGGAGAAACCCTGTCTCTACTAAAAATACAAAATTAGCTGGGCATGGTGGCACATGCCTGTAATCCCAGCTACTTGGGAGGCTGAGGGAGGAGACTCGCTAGAACCTGGGAAGTGGAGGTTGCAGTGAGCCAAGATCGTGCCATTGCACTCCAGCCTGGGCAACAACAGCGAAACTCCATCAAAAAAAAAAAAAAGTATACTTTAGCTTACTCCATCCTCATCACAGTAGTGCTTATACTCTTCCTGTGGGAGCCACCCTTCCCAGTAGCAATGGTTTCAGTTCAGGTGGTGGTTCTATATAAAAGGGCAATGTAAGAAGTAGCAGTATTTTCCCAATATCCTGCCAGAACTCGGCTAATTGAAAAGCAGCACAAGGCTAGAATCAGAACCCAGGGTTTCAGGATCCAAGCCCAGTTTTATTTCTAAGAGAAATATTTCTCTACAATTACAATCTTCTATAACCCTATAAAACAGCTTCTTCAGTTCAGATTCTTCATCAGAACATTTCTATTTTTCAAATGCTGCCCCCTGCAGTTGATTCGATTTTGTAATGGATGGTTTTGAAGCTATTTCTGGAGCAAGTGTCGGAGCTTAGGAAACAGTTTTAATGCATTCTGTGTCGTCACTTCTATAACTTCTTCCACTGAGATCCCTTTCACCTGGGCAATATATTCTGCTGAAATAGAAATGTTCCAGGGCTCATTCCGTACCTGAAACAAGACAGCAGACACCATGTCAAACATGACACTGAAGGGAAGCAGATCCTTGGAGACTATAGATAGAAGAAAATGAGTTGGTAAAAACAACTGATGGGCTCCTTTTTAATTTTTTTCTTTTTAGGTGGGGATGAGGGCTGGGAGGGAGGTGTGGCTGCAATGTTGATTGTAAATCTGTGCTGCTCCTGAAAAGAACCCTGGGGTATTTACAATTGAAGTCCCTAGCTCCTAGCACATGAAGCAGTCTGCAAACAGTGAACACCTGGTAACCTGCCTGACTAATGGATTAATTGTCCTTTGGTTTGTTGCTTAGGTGAATGCTTGTAAAAGGTCACTGCTCTGCTGCTTGGCCGCCTACCTCACAGGCTACATGACAGTTTGATTCAAGAATTGCCAACATGTATTGGAAAGATGAAATAGATTATGTACTGGCATTTCACTGATTCTAAGATGCATTTCCTCTCCTATTTTAACATCTCTGAAATTGATACAGTATATTTCATTTAGATTCAGTGGTATTTCATAGTATAACTGGCAGTGTTTTTTCTTTCTTAATGGTCATAAAACAATGGTAAACAATGGTGCCTCTACAATCAGTAGCATTTAGATTTTATGAAATAAATTATTATTGTTACTATCAATAAGTATCTACTCAGGATGATAATGTTCAGAAGAATAACATTATTGTTAAAATTTTTAAAATGCACTTTGGTAATGTAGCCCAAAAAAATTAAAAATGGGCATAGAGATTTATGTTAATCATGTTGTTTATAATACAATCTAGATGACCAATAGCAAGTTAAATATGGTAAACTCACATACTGGAATATTATGCAGTTATTAAACATGATGAAGAAAAGTATGTTTATTAATATATACAGAGGTTCAGCCAGGTGCAGTGGCTTACACCTGTAATCTTAGCACTTAGGAAGGCCGAGGTGGGAGGATCACTTGAGCTTAGGAGTTTGAGACCAGCCTGGGCAACATAGTGAGACCTTGTCTCTATTAAAAAAAAAATTAACAAAAAAAATATATATACAGAGGTTTACCACATAAAGATCAGTTATAAAATAATATGTCCAAGTTAATCCTGTTTTTATGAAATATATGTGCACTAAAAATACAAAAATCAGCCGGGCGTGGTGGCACAAGCCTGTAATCCCAGCTACTAGGGAGGCTGAGGCAGGAGAATTGCTTGAATCCAGAAGGCGGAAGTTGCAGTGAGCTGAGATTGCGCCACTGCACTCCAGCCTGGGCGACAGAGCAAGACTCTGTCTCAAAAACAAAACAAAAACAAAAACAAAAACAAGTAGCCAGGCATGGTAGCACATGCCTGATGGAGAATCATCTGAACCCAGAAAGTCGAGGTTGCTGTGATCACGCCACTGCACTATAGCTTGGGTGACAGAGTAGACCCTGTCTCAAAAAAAAAAAAAAAAAGAAAAGAAAGAAAATAAAAATAGAAACATTAATTGAACATCAGTTAGTAAAATTCACATTGCAATCACATATAATCATAGTTTCTGAATAAACGGATAATAATTGCTACTGTTCCCAAACCTCTAAATTTTGAGTGCCAATTCTCTGAATTTGGCAGGCATAGAGACACAGATCTGATGGGTAGTCAAAGGCACTTATTAAACTGCACATTGGGAGGTCATTGTAATAGGTACTGCCTAAAGCAAATAAAGCATATACTGTGGCTTACTTTCAGAAAATTATAATTTAAAATAGTAGCAATATGAAAGAGAGTGAAATTTAAAATATGATTCTTTGTGGCCTACAATAACAAAAAGAGATACTAACAGCAAAGATCATATAAATAAACCCATGATTATATCAATACTTGTATTGAAAGAAATAGAACTTCATTATAACATGCTAATTAAAAGAAGAAAAATGAACACTCATTGAATACCTACTGTATACCAGATACTGCTAGTTACGTTCACATACGTTACTTCATGTAATACTTACCATAATCTTTTCTTTTTTTTTTGAGATGGAGTTTTGCTCTTGTTGCCCAGGCTGGGGTGCAATGGTGCAATCTCGGCTCACTGCAACCTCCACCTCCCGGGTTCAAGCGATTCTCCTGCCTCAGCCTCCCGAGTAGCTGCGATTACAGGCGCATGTGCCACCACGCCCAGCTAATTTTTTTGTATTTTTAGTAGAGACAGGGTTTCTCCATGTTAGTCAAGCTGGTCTCGAACTCCTGACCTCAGGTGATCTGCCCGCCTTGGCCTCCCAGAGTGCTGGGATTACAGGTGTGAGCCACCGTGCCCAGCCCACCATAATCTTTTAATGTATTTATTATTTTACCCATATTTTATAAATGAAAAAGCAGTTTCAGAGAGATTAAGTAGCTTGCCCAAAGTCAGCTACTAGGTAGATAACAGGATTTGAATTTGTCTTTCTGACTGCAGACACTGTGCTTTTTACTACACTGGTCTGACTCTTATTATTACATACATTAGGACATGCTTCATTATCAAATAATATTCTCTGGAGTGCAACAGCTATATTTAGAAAGACCTGAAATAAAGTTAATATAAGCCCTCAATCTGGCAGTATATGAGGATTCCACTGTATTTACACTATAATGAGAAATACAGCTAAATTGAAAAGAACTCAAATGAAAGATACAATCTAAATAATATAGAAATTAGAAAACCATTTACCTGTTTTTCTGGTCCTAGTGCAGGTGAATCTGTTTCTAAGCATATAGAAGTTAAAGGCAATTGTTTCACAAGTTTCTGCTTCTTAGAGAAAAGAGAAAGCAGCTAAGTTTAAAACATGAGAAATAAAGATAAAGAGCATTAAATTGACATACTAATAATGCATTTTATTCTGCAATAACTTAAAATTTATGCTTTAGGCTGGGCGCGGTGGCTCACGCCTGTAATCCCAGCACTTTGGGAGGCCGAGGCGGGTGGATCACGAGGTCAGGAGTTCAAGACCAGCCTGACCAACATGGTGAAACCCCGTCTCTGCTAAAAATACAAAAATTGCCAGGCACAGTGGCTCATGCTTGTAATCCCAGCACTTTGGGAGGCCGAGGCAGACAGAACATAAGGTCAGGAGTTCAAGACTAGCCTGGCCAACATGGTGAAACCCCATCTCTACTGAAAATACAAAAATTAGCCAGGCATGGTGGCAGGCACCTGTAATCCCAGCTACTCAGGAGGCTGAGGAAGAAGAATCACTTGAACCCGGGAGGTGGAGGTTGCAGTGAGCCGAGATCACCCCACTGTACTCCAGACTGGGCAGCAGAGCAAGACTCCATCTCAAAAAAAAAATAATAATAATAATAAAATAAAAATACAAATACAAAAATTAGCCAGGCAAGGTTGCAGTGAGCCGAGATCACGCCACTGTACTCCAGACTGGGCAACAGAGCGAGACTCCGCCTCAAAAAAAAATTATTTTTTACTATTCAACTGATAGGCCGGTTGTGGTAGCTCGCGCCTGTAATCCCAGTACTTTGGGAGGCTGAGGTGGGTGGGTCACTTGAGACCAGGAGTTCGAGACCAGCCTGGGCAACATGATAAAACCCCATCTCTACTGAGAATACAAAAATTAAGCCGGGGTGGTGGCTCATACCTGTCCAGCACTTTGGGAGGCCAAGGCAGGCTGATCACTTGAGATTGGAAGTTCGAGACCAGCCTGACCAACATGGTGAAACCCCGTCTCTACTAAAAATACAAAAATTAGCCGGGCGTAGTGGTGGCTGCCTGTAATCCCAGCTACTCGGGAGGTTGAGGCAGAATCACTTGAACCCGGGAGGCAGAGGTTGCAGTGAGCTGAGATCGCGCCACTGCACTCCAGCCTAGCCAGAGTGGAAAAAAAAAATACAAAAATTAGCCAGGCATTGTGGTACACGCCTGTAATCCCAGGTACTCGGAAGGCTGAGGCAGGAGAATTGCTTGGACCTGGGAGGCGGAGATTGCAGTGAGACAAGATCACATCACTGCACCCCAGCCTGGGCGACAGAGTGAGACTCTGCTTCAAAAAAACAATTCAATTGATAAATGCTAACTGGATGTTCTCATAATTCCACTACTAAAAGTTATGTTAAAATATAAACACTAATTCCTAAAAATTATCCAAAGCTTCTAGGGAAACCAAAGAATAGTAACCATAGCAAAAATGAGGTATACCCAGCAAGCAGAAATCCAAACATCTGGTATCATGTGCCGACATTGACAAGGAAGTGATTTCTGTTGTTTCTCCACCCTCATCACATTCAGTGTTTCTTTCTAACATCCACTTTAAGGCACTCAAAGCTTTATGTTTATAAATCTAAGGGTTTTGTTTGTTTTTGAGACACAGTCTGGCTCTGTCACTCATGTTGGAGTGGAGTGGCACGTACTCGGCTCACTGGACCCTCCATCTCCTGGGCTGAAGACATCCTCCCACCTCAGCCTCCCAAGTAGTTGGGACTATAGGCACACACCACCACACTCGGCTAATTTTTTTTTTTTTTTTTTTTTTTTTTGAGACAGAGTCTCGCTCTGTCACCCAGGCTGGCGTGCAGTGGCGCGATCTCGGCTCACTGCAAGCTCCGCCTCCCGGGTTCACGCCATTCTCCTGCCTCAGCCTCCCAAGTAGCTGGGACTACAGGCGCCCACCACCATGCCCGGCTAATTTTTTGTATTTTTAGTAGAGACGGGGTTTCACCATGTGAGCCAGGATGGTCTTGATCTCCTGACCACGTCGTGATCCACCCGCCTTGGCCTCCCAAAGTGCTGGGATTACATGCGTGAGCCACCGCGCCCTGCCTTCACTCGGCTAATTTTTATATGTTTTGTAGAGACAGGGTTTCGCCATATTGCCTAGGCTGTTCTCAAATTCTTGAGCTCAGGTGATCCGCAACCCTTGGCCTCCCAAAGTGCTGAGGTCACAGATATGAGCCTCCGTGCCTGGCCCAAATCTAAGGTTCTTATGCAATTTAAATTTTATTTTTTTATTAATTAATGTATTTATTTTTGAGATGGAGTCTCTGTCGCCCAGGCTGGAGTGCAGAAGCGCGATCTCAGCTCACTGCAACATCTGCCTCCTGGGTTCAAGTGATTCTCCTGCCTCAGCCTCCTGAGTAGCTGGGATTATAGGCATGCGCCACCACACCCAGCTAATTTTTGTATTTTTAGTAGAGAAGGGGTCTCACCATGTTGGCCAGGCTGGTTTTGAACTCCTAACCTCAGGTGAACTGCCTGCTTTGACCTCCGAAAGTGCTGGGATTACAGGTGTGAGCCACAGTGCCTAGCCCAATTTAAATTTTAGATTGGGTTGTGGATGGTTTTCTTTTTTCTTTTTTTTTTTTTTGAGACGGAGTCTCGCTCTGTCACCCAGGCTGGAGTGCAGTGGCGCGATCTCGGCTCACTGCAGGCTCTGCCCCCCCGGGTTCACGCCATTCTCCTGCCTCAGTCTCCCGAGTAGGTGGGACTACAGGCGCCCACCACCATGCCTGGCTAATTTTTTGTATTTTTAGTAGTGACGGGGCTTCCCCGTGTTAGCCAGGATGGTCTCGATCTCCTGACCTCGTGATCTGCCCGCCTCGGCCTCCCAAAGTGCTGGGATTACAGGCATAAGCCACTGCGCCCGGCCTAGTTTTTAATTTTTAAAGCTATAATTCACATAACCATAATATTCACTCTTTAAAAGTACACAATCCAGTGTTTTTTGCTATATTCACAAAATTGTACAATCATCACCATTATCTAGTTCTGGAATATTTTCATCACTCCAAAAAGAAATCCCATACCCATTAGCTGTCACTCCCTATTATCCTTCCCCTCAAAATTCTGGAAACCACTAATCTATATTGTGTTTATAGATCTGCCTCACCTGGACATTTCACATGAATGGAATAATACAAGATGTGGTTTTTCGTCTGGTTGCTTTCTCTTAGTATAATGTTTTCAAGGTTCATCCATGCTGTAGCATGACTCAGTACTTCATTTCTTTTCATGACTTTATTCCTCTTCATTCCTTTTTATGACTTTATATTCCATTATATGGATATAGCACATTTTATTTATCCATTCATCAGCTGACGGAAATCTAGGTTGTTTCTACTTTTTGGCTATTATGAATAATGCTGCTATAAACATTTATGTACAAGTTTTTGTGTGGACATATGTTTTAATCTCTTTTGGGTATCTACCTAGGGGTGGAATTGCTGGGTCACATGGTAATTTTATTAAGTTTCTAAGGAACTCCAAACTTAGTGGTATGAAGTTGTATCTCTCACTGTACCTTTGATTTCTATTTCCAAAATGGCTAATGAGGTTGAGCGTCTTTTTATGAGCTTATTGGCCATTTGTATGTTTTCTTTAGAGAAATATCTAATTTAAATAATTTGCACATATTTTAATCAGGTTATTTGTCTTTTTATTGAGTTGTAATGGTGCTTTATATATTCTGGATACTAGACCCTTATCAGATACATGGCTTGAAAATATTTTTTATCTTTCTATGGGTTGTATTTTCACTTTTTTGATAATGTGCTTTGAATTATAAGTCTTAAATTTTTTATTGTGAACATTTTAAATTTTGATTATGTCCAATAAATTTGTTTTTTTCTTTGGTTGCTTACGATTTTAATGACCTATCTAAGAAGCCACAGCCTAATCAAGGAGTCACACAAATTAAGGCCTGTTTTCCTCTAAGAATTTTTAGTTTTTTTTTTTTTTTTGAGATGGAGTTTCGCCCTTGTTGACCAGGCTGGAGTGCAATGGCTTGATCTTGGCTCACTGCAACCTCCACCTCCTGGTTCAAGCGATTCTCCTGCCTCACCCTCCCAAGTAGCTGGGATTACAAGCACATGCCACCACGCCCAGCTAATTTTTGTATTTTTAGTAGGGACGGGGTTTCACCATGTTGGCCAGGCTGGTTTCGAACTCCTGGCCTCAGGTGATCTACCCGCTTCAGCCTTCCAAAGTGCTGGGATTACAAGCGTGAGCCCCTGAGCCTGGCCTTATTTGGTTTTATATTTAAGTCTTTGATCAATTTCTGAGTTCATTTTTATATATATGTGAGGTAGAGACCTAAGATTAATTTTTGTAATGTAACTAGAATAGTATCACAAGTATGGAAGAAAAGCTCATGTTTTAAATTTTATTTCATAAGTATTAGATGAGTTTCAATGAAAAAATTTACCTGTCCACTTCTTATGATAGAAGGGGGAATTGAGAAGAAGTACCCAGCTCTTACTCCTTCCATGGCTACAGATGGCCGACCATCAAATGCATGCAGCAGTACCTTCTCAGCACCTTTCAAAAATGAAAGATAAGGCAGTATTCCATTTTATGTCCCATCAATCAAATTAAATAACAGAAGTCTGAAATTTTAAGTAAATGTTGGTCACTAGGATATAAACAAGAGGTTCTATAACTTCTAAAGGGCGGATAAATGTACGGTGTTCAAAGAGTGGAATAAAAATATAGTAAATTTTAGGCCAGGCACAGTGGCTCACACTTGTAATCCCAGAACTTTAGGAGGCCAAGGCAGGCAGATCACTTGAGCCCAGGAGTTCGAAACCAGCCTGGCCAACATGGTGAAACCCCGTCTCTACAAAAAATACAAAATTTAGCTGGGCATGGTGGTGCAGGCCTGTAGTCCCAGCTACTCGGGAAGCTAAGGTGGGAGGATCACCTGAGTCTGAGATGTCAAGGCTGCAGTGAGCTGTGATCGCACCACTGCACTCTAGGCTGGGCATCGGAGTGAGACTCTGTCTCAAAAAATAAACTAATAAAAACATATAGTCCGGGCGCAGTGGCTCACGTCTGTAATCCCAGCACTTTGGGAGGCCGAGGTGGGCGATCACCTGAGGTCAGGAGTTCAAGACAAGCCTGACTAGCATGGTGAAACCCCATCTCTACTAAAAATACAAAAAAATTAGCTGGGCGTAGTGGCAGGCACCTGTAATCCCAGCTACTTGGGAGGCTGAGGCAGGAGAGTCACTTGAACCTGGGAGGCAGAGGTTGCAGTGAGCCAAGATTGTGCCACTGTACTCCAGCCTGGGCGACAGAGTGAGACTCCATCTCAAAAAAAATAAATAAATAAAATAAATAAATATATATATATGTATATATGTGTATATACATATGTATATATGTGTATATACATATGTATATATGTGTATATACATATGTATATATGTGTATATATGTATATATATGTATATATGTGTATATATGTGTATATATGTGTGTGTGTGTGTGTATATATATATATATATATATATATATATATATATATGGAGAGAGAGAGAGAGAGAGAATAAATTCTTAATCTTCAGAATAAAATTGAAATATTCAATAATGTTGGCCAGGCACAGTGGCTCATGTCTGTAATCCCAGCACTCTGGGATGCTGAGATGGGAGGATCTCTTGAGCGAGCTCAGGAGTTTGAGACCAGCCTGGGCAACATGGTGAAACCCAGTTTCTACGAAAAATACACACAAAAGAATTAGCAGGGTGTGGTGGTGTGTGCCCATAGTCCCAGCTACTTGTGGGGCTGAAGTGGGAGGATCTCTTGAGCCCAGGAGGTGGAGGTTGCAGTGAGCAGAGATCGCCCCACTGCAATCCAGCCTGGGCAACAGTGTCAGACCCAGTCTCAAAAAAAAAAAAAAAAAAAAGAGAGAGAGAAATATTCAATTTTAAAGACAAATATAAATTTTCTGCACCATCAGACCTTTTCTAGAAGTCTGTGAGCTAATTGTTTCTAACAGGAGGTTTTTAAGCAGTCAAATGGATTATCTTAACAAAAATGCTAGTGAAAGAAGAAATGGGGAACTAAGTGACACAAACTCAATAGTCAGAGTGGACTTCATAAAACTATCCCCAGTTATTAAAGGGTAGCTGCTCAGCCTGCATAAAAATCATGCTTTCAGTGACTCCAGAACTATTCATCACTGATTTCTAGTTGCAGGCAATTTCATTTACTTTATTATTTGACAGAGTTTTTTCAAATGGTATGAATGACTATTAGACGGTTCTGAACATAAGTGAGTTATGAAACCAACTTAGTTTAGTTTCATAAGCACAACCAATGAGTGCTTATATGTATGTGTGTATGTAGCACACACTTACATACCTATACGTACACACACATATGTGGATTGCTTGTTAAACTTTTGTTAGCTTTCTTTATGTAAATATGAGTCTCAAAATAAACTATATTTCTTACTGCGGATGGCACCTTTAAAATATTGAAAAATAATGCCATAAGATGTAATTTTACTTTAGGAACAACTGGCAAAGAAGAGAGTGTGTATGTATGATGGCCAAAATCTGTATTTCTGCATTTCTGTAAATTCTGCATTTCTGAAGTAGCAGCTATAAAACATAAAAAAACAGTGACGCAATGTGATTGCTGTGATTGCCCTTCTTTTTTTTAACCTTTTCCCCATTAATCAGCTGATTGAGCTGATTAAGAAACTGGAGCTGCTGGCCAGGCACAGTCGCTCACGCCTGTAATCCCAGCACTTTGGGAGGCCGAGGCGTGTGGATCACCTGAGGTCAGGAGTTCAAGACCAGCCTGGCCAACATCGTGAAACCCCATCTCTACTAAAAATACAAAAATTAGCTGGGTGTGGTGGCACGCACCTGTAATGCTAGCTACTTGGGATGCTGAAGCAGAAGAATAGCTTGAACCCAGGAGGTGGAGGTTGCAGTGAGCCAAGATTGCGCCACTGCACTCCAGCCTGGGCAACAGAGTGAGACTGTGTCTCAAAAAATAAAATAGGGTGGGCACGGTGGCTCATCCTGTAATCTCAGCACTTTGGCAGGCTGAGGCGGGTGGATCACTTGAGGTCAGGAGTTCGAGACCAGCCTGGCCAACATGGCAAAACCCCAGCTCTACTAAAAATATAAAAATTAGCTGGATGTGATAGTGGGTGCCTGTAATCTCAGCTACATGGGAGGCTGAGGCAGGATAATTGCTTGAACCCAGGAGGCAGAGGTTGCAGTGAGCTGAGATTGTGCCACTGCATTCCAGCCTGGGCAACAGAGTGAGACTCCGTCTCAAAAAATAAATAAATAAATAAAAGAAACTGGAGCTGCTAATTTTGTTTTGTTTTGTTTTTTATGAAGCTGCTAATTTTTAAATTAAGGGACATAAATTATTGTATTCAACTTTTCATTTACTCTATCTGGGCCTGGGAAATATCATAATTACACTGAAAACCTTGTAAACAATAGCCTGACCTGCAACATCATCTTAGATGATTTCTGCCCCCCTTCTTGCCCCTGCCCTTCAAGAAATCAGATTAAAACATGGCTTGCTTTATGAGAACATAAACTGGAATTGTCAAACTTGAACATTAGGCCTATTTTTCTCAGGAAACGAAATACCTTGCTCTTGTAAAAGGTTGATGGTAGGTCTTCCAGCAGAGCGTGAGTGCACATTTCTGTTTAACGATAACAACATTTCTTTTAAGTACCATTCTGAAAGTATTGTTTTTGATCTATTAAAGTAGTTTGGAGAAAAATAAATGTAGAGTTCCATTTCAGGAGAACTCTGATCATTATTTAATTTGCTCTATAGCTATTAACATAGGAAAATAATTAACCTACACAGGCAAATTTAGTCTTTTGGCTAACTGGATCTGTCTGATTAGGACTTGTCTTTGCTCTTCCTTCTGTTCACCAGTGCCAGCAAATCTGGGGGAGAAATCTAGTCCAACCTAGAGCAGAAAAATAAAAGATATTACATATTTAGGTTTAAGGAACCTCAAAAGAGATCTTTGGATTGATGCTATCCAATAGAAATATATAATGTGAGGCACAAAAGCAAGCCACATAAAAATATTAATTCTAGTAGCCACATTAAAAATATTCACAAAAACAGGTGAAATCAATCTTAATAATATACTTTAACCCAATATATCCCAAATATTATTATTTTAAACATGTAGCCAATATAAAATATTGAGTTATTTTATATTCCTTTTTTTTTGTTTGTTTTGTTGAGACGGAGTGTGGCTCTGTTGCCCAGGATGGAGTGCAGTGGCGTGATCTCGGCTCACTTCAACCTCTGCCTCCTGGGTTCAGGCGATTCTCTTGCCTCAGCTTCCTGAGTAGCTGGGATTACAGGTGCCTGCTACCACGCCCGGCTAATTTTTGTGTTTTTAGTAGAGACAAGGTTTTACCATGTTGGTCAGGCTGGTCTCAAATTCCTGACCTCAAGTGATCAGCCCGCCTTAGCCTCCCAAGGTGCTGGGATTACAGGTGTGAACCACTGTGCCCAGCCTTTTTTTTTTTTCTTTTTGGTACTAAAACTTTGAAATACACAGTGTATTTTACACTTACAACACATCTTAATTCAGAGCAGTCACATTTCAAATGCTCAGAAGCCGTTAAGTGGCCACTATATTGGACGGCACAGACTATAGATGACTCCTCCTGGGACTATTTTGGCATGCATTCTATAATCTATATTCTGAATTTAAGTGTTATTCTTATCTTTTGTCTCTAATTAAAAATGGAATTTATTACCAAGTAATAAAAATATTTCACAATTGGCCGGGCACGATTGCTCAAGCCTGTAATCCCAGCACTTTGGGAGGCGAAGGTGGGTGGATTACTTGAGGCCAGGTGTCCAAGACCAGCCTGGCCAACATGGTGAAACCCCGTCTCTACTAAAAATACAAAAAAATTAGCTGGGTTGGTGGTGCATGCCTGTAATCCCAGCTAGTAGGGAGGCTGAGGCAGGAGAACCACTTGAACCTGGGAGGCAGAGGTTGCAGTGAGCCGAGATTGCGCCACTGCACTCCAGCTGGGATTGTACCACTGTACTCCAGCCTAGGTGACAGAGCAAGGTTCTGTCTCAAAAAAAAAAAAAAAAATTCACAATTATAAATTATTTAAATAAAAAAGTTCTTTAATTACAAACTCTAGCCCATTTAAAGTGTGTTTCTAAATTACTTATGAAGAATTATAGATACTATATTAACTCACCAGAGCAAGGACCCATATTTAAGCATAAGAAAAAAAAAGCAAAGTATTTAGAAATGCTATTATTTTTCTCCAATTAAGGTAGGCCTATGGTAAGGCTTTTGATTGTTTCATCCCCAAGCTTTCTTGCTTATTAAAGAAGTATCAACGAATTATTATTTGGCTAAGTGGGGTGAACATAATTATACAAGTCAGTTATAATCACCAATACTGAACTAAAGATTATTTTCATATATCATATAGAAGTCTGAATTAGAAGCTGTTTGATCAGTTAGTGGGTGTTTACCTCTCCAATTGCCAACAACCGATCCTTATAATTCTCAATAATGGGCAAAGCTACATCCAAATCCTGGGAGAAAAAAAGTAAAATTGTTAAAATGGAAGAAAGGAACTGCTATTTCACAAGCTCCTATTATGTGCTAGGTGCTATGCCATCCTGGTGCTTTACATACATTTAATCCATTTAAGCAGTCAAAAAACTACCAATAGTAATCCTTCTAAAATGGTGAGTACCTCTACCTGTAAGTTTGAGTAGAAACATATCCCATACCCATTCGGGTTACAAGAATATGACTTTTTATGAAGAGCGCCACTTAAACATGGCCTTCTGTTTGGGAGGTATTTCCTGACATTTAGGAGGCATTTGGACATTCTGAAATCACTAAGAAAAAGAGAGGCAAACCACCAGGGAGTCATCTCTGCATGTGAGCTTTGCGATTGCATTGTTGTGTTCTCCCCTTAGAATTCGTCTGGTTGGTGAGTTTATAATGATAATCCCATACTTCCTTTGCACTGTTTTCACTGATTTCATTTGTCTTTATAGCCCTGCTTTGACTACTTGTTCTAGATGCCCAGCAATATAAACAATGAGTATCTCATATATGCTTGTTAAATATTGAAGTAGCTGTGTACCATTAGTTTCAATGATATTACCTTTTCCACTGAGGAGAATTTGCCCTGTAGGGTTCCCTTCTTAGGCAGGGAAAATAAATATATGGAAAATTGCTTCTAGATACCTTTTAGACTACATTGCAAATTTTAGTTTCAGGATATATAAATTGCAAAGCATTTCTCCTGAGGATAATCAGAACAAGAGAGAATTAAGAAAAGGAAGGTAAAGCAGATGATAGAGGAACAGGAGTAGATTTTACAACTATGAGAGAGAGAGAACAAAGATGAAGGAGGGTAAGTTAAGGCCTTGAAATATATTCTAGTAGACTTGAAATATATTCTAGTAGACTTGAAATATATTCTAGTAGACTGGAAGAAGAATTAACATTGTCATGAAAAATGATGGGTATATGACCCTAGATGTCAGAAAAGCTATTTGACAACAAGCTGAGTAGGTTAAACAGTTCCAGGCAAAGCTTTTTCCATATCACACATCCAAACTACTGTATGTCTCTGAGATCTCAGAGGGACTGGAGAAGTAGGAGAAATCACCCAGGAAATGTCTAACACTTAGAAAGCCTGAGTCACAGAAATTACACAGTTGGAGGAAGATCAGATGAAGAAAAAACCATGCCTCTTGGAATATGTATTACCTATGAAAAAGCAAAACAGATTTACAGTGAGACTATTCAAACTCCTAATAAAATAGATCTGGAAGCTTTCAGCAAGTCAAGAATGATAAGTAGAAATTAATAGTAGAATATAATTCATATTACTTATTTAATATGTACAAATTTATTTGTGTGTGTGGTCTTTGTCATTTTATTTTAGTAGATGTAAACATATTTATAAGGCTATTTACAGGTCTATTTCTGCCCTCAGTTCTATCCCCACTCCCTTCATAAGGTCTCAAGTTCCTTAACAGCTAATGGTTCTATTATACTTTTGTGTTTTTGTTTTTTTTTTAAAGATAGGGTCTCAGTTTGTGACCCAGGCTGGAGTGTGCAGTGGTGCGATCATAGCTCACTGCAGCCTTGAACTCCTGGGCTCAAGTGATTCTCCCATCTCAGCCTCTCGAGTAGCTGGGACTATAGGCACATGCCACCATGCCTGGCTAACATTTTAAATTTTTGTGTATGTTGCCTAGGCTGGTCTCCAACTTCTGGCCTCAAGCAATCTTCCCACCTCAGCCTCCCAAAGTGATGGGATTACAGGAGTCAGCCATGGCACCCCACCCTATTACGGTTTTTGTAAAAAAAAAAAAAAAAGATTACATACCCCTATACCTTATGATTGGGCATAATACTACTATATAATTATTCATTATTTACAAATGAGGAAATCAGACTTGGCAAAGGTAAGTAATGTGCCACAGATCACAGAAGTCAGTAGGCCAGGTCCCTCTGACTTCAAAGCTCATGCATGCTGTTTCCACCATGCTGCTGAAAGAAGAAAGGAAGAAGGGACAAAAAAGGGAATGAATGAAAGAAGGAAGGAGGGCAAAAGGGATCAAAGGAGGAGAAGAGATTTATTCAGAATGATTTTAAATAATTACAATAGATTTTTTTATTATAGAAAATGTTTAGTCTTCAGAACCTTTAGAACAGGGGTCAAGTGTTTAACAGAAATTAGTAAAGTGGAACAAGTAGAAACAGTAGCTAACTGGAGAGCAAATACCCTCCATGCAGGGGCAGCAGAATGCCGCCAGTGAATTGTATTATGGCGCCACTGCACTCCAGCCTGGGTGACAGAGCAAGATTCTATCTCAAAAAAAAAAAAAAAAAGAAGTACCTATCATACTGTTGGCATATTAATTACTTTGGTAAGTTAACCAGTCCAATCAATTCTATATTAATGCCAAATATATGCCAAATCCACCCATTTCTCTACCTCCAATGCTAGTACTCTGGTCCCGTCCAGCATCATTTGTTCACCACAGTTCATTGTGGTTTATCCCCAGTGCCTAAACTGTGCCTGGTAATAGTATTTATTGAATGAATTAATTAATTCAGGAATATGTTAAAAGGTTTGTGTGATACTAGGTAATTCATCTTATAAAACAAGTTAATTTGATGAATACTTACTACATACCTAGCTTTGTACCACATATTTTAGAAGCCTGTAAAGGTGCAATGAGGCATACTTCCTGTTTTAAAGGGGTTTATAATCTAATCAGCAGGAGAAAACTAAACTGCAGTATGGACTACAAGTGCAACTGGAATAAAATAGGGCTAACTCTGCTCATCTCTAGTCTATTCCAGAGTATTATCACAACATTTGATAAGTTCATATCTGCTTTGATAATCAAGAATTACCTATTGGCCGGGTGTGGTGGCTCACACCTATAATCCCAGCACTTTGGGAGGCCAAGGCAGGTGGATCACTTGAGGCCAGGAGTTTGAGACCAGCCTGGCCAACATGGCAAAACCCCAACTCTACTAAAAATACAAAAAATTAGCCGGGTGTAGTGGTGCATGCCTGTAATCCCAGCTACTCAGGAGGCTGAGGCACGAGAATCACTTGAACCAGGGAGGCGGAGGCTGCAGTGAGCCGAGATGGCGCCACTGCACTGCAGCCTGGGTGACAGAGCAAGATTCTATCTCAAAAAAAAAAAAAAAAGAAGTACCTATCATACTGTTGGCATATTAATTACTTTGGTAAGTTAACCAGTCCAATCAATTCTATATTAATGCCAAATATATGCCAAATCCACCCATTTCTCTACCTCCAATGCTAGTACTCTGGTCCCATCCAGCATCATTTGTAGCCTTCTAACTTTTTCCCCTTTTCATTTTTTACCCTCTTCAAAACTCACTCTTCATACCTTAGCCAAGGGGTTTTTTTTCTTCACCAAACTCATTTTGGCCAGAGCCAAGAGGATCTTTTTAAAACATAAATTACGTCTTGGTACTTCTCACATTAAACCCTCCACTGCATGTAAACTAAAATCCAACAAGGTCCTGTATGAGATCTCCACCCATCCCTCTTACCCCATCACTATCACTTCCTCTCTTTCTCTAGCCATATGAGCCCTCTTTCTGTTTCTTGACTACACTGAGCTTATTCCTACCTTGGGACCTTTGTGCTTTGCTGTTTCCTTTGCACATAACACCCTGATCCTCTCTTTGCATGGCCAGTTCCTTTGTAGCATTCAGGTTGCAGCTCAATTGTCACTACCAGAGTCCTTCCTTGATGATATCATCTAACAATCAGCATTCACAACACCTACTATATAATCTTGTTTTACTGTCTTCAAAGCACTTAGTGCTATCGAAAGTTTTCCTGCTCATGTAATTGTTGACTGTCTGTCTGGGCCATCTAGAATCTAGCTTCCATGAGCAGGATCTTACTCATTATTGGGTCTGCAGTGCTGACAGCAGTGCCTGGCATGTAGCAGGTGCTCAGTACACACTGGTTGACTACCTAACTAAATGAATGTCTATTAGTATAAATCCCCACATAAATGAAAGAAGTGCTGCCTTGCTATGATTCCACATTTGTAGAATTGTGATTGGCAATGTAGCTAATTTTATCATACTTAACAATTCAGGATAGCTACAGGATAAGCATTTTTACCTGAAATGAATGAATTTTCTTTTCTTTTTTTTTTTTTTTTTTTTTTGAGTTTTTGAGAGATAGCGTCCATGTTGCCCAGGCTGGTCTTGAACTCCTGAGCTCAAGTGGTCCTCCCATCTCGGCCTCCCAAAGTGTTAGGATTACAGGTGTGAGCCACCATGCCTGGTCATGAATTTTATTTTGAAATAAGTAGAGCTAGCTACCTAAGGTATCTTAATATAGGAAGAGAGATACATTATTATTATTATTTTTTTTTTGAGATGGAGTCTCACTCTGTCACCCAGGCTGGAGTGCACTGGAGCAATCTCAGCTTACTACAATCTTCGCCTCCTGGGTTCAAACGATTCTCCCACCTTAGTCTCCCGAGTAGCTGGGACTACAGGTGCACGCCACCACACCTGGATAAGTTTTTGTATTTTTAGTACAGACAGGGTTTCACCATGTTAGCCAGGAAGGTCTCAATCTCCTGACCTCATGATCCACCCACCTCAGCCTACCAAAGTGCTGGGATTACAGGCACGAGCCACTGTGTCCAGCCTACATTATTATTTTTTAAATGGCACTATATCTTAATTTATTCATAGGTAACAAAAAGTCATTACTTCTTTGAAATGGGGCTATCAAACCCATTATGCAATAAAACACTCATGAAACTGTGGATCTTCCTGATGCTGAGTCAGGAGACAAGTGTGAAATATAAGACATACCAACTATCGTGAGTCAGTGCGGGTAGGATGTTTTTAGAGAGGGTACAAAATCAGTGCAATTTAATAGCTGGAGAGCAATCCTGTAACAATGGTTCTATGTTCAAAGATAATACTACTTACTTGAACTAATCTGTTCCCTAATAGTATATGGCACCTCTGAATTTGTATCTTTCTTTTTCTAGATATTCTATCACTTTTTTGCCAAAGCAACATGACTACAGTACCAAAAAAATGTGAAAAAAGTTACAGATAATTCTAACAGATCATCACAATTACTATCATTTCTGTGTTTTCTCTGCAGTCTTTTCCTTATGAATATATGCTTATGTAGATGTCACTCATAGTGAATATGCTATTTGGTATCCTGCTTTTCTCCCTATATTATACAGTAAGTATTTTCCATGTGCTATAATACTTTATAATCCTCATTTTCTATAAATGCATTATATTTAACACTCTACAACTTAACTAATGATTCCTTTGTTTCTGAACCTCTAGGCTGTTTCTACTTTTTCTCTATTACGAATAATGTTGCAACAAACATCTTTGTTAAAGAAGGTAATGTTTCCTTCTTTTGGATTATTTCCTGAGAATATAAATTAGAAAGAGGAGGATTACTGAGTCAAATAATTCTTTCGTTTGTTTGTTTTTAATGGTTCCTGTTTTGTATGACTGTTACCTTTAGTGTGACACTTCTTTGGTCTTCTGGTGGAAGTCCTTGAACTGGATGAACACCCAAGCATGGCAGGACAAACCCATTATACCTAAAAATGTAGAACCAACTGAGAAAGCAGGAACAGTAGACTAGTAGATTACAACGTATTCTAAAGAATAAGTAGAGGTCGGGCATGGTGGCTTATGTCTGTAATTCCAGCACTTTGGGAGGCTGAACCAGGTGGATCACTTAAGGCCAGGAGTTTGAGACCAGCCTGGCCAACATGGTGAAATCCTGTATCTACAAAAAATATAAAAATTAGCCAGGCCTGGTGGTGCATGCTTTAGACCCAGCTACTTGGGAGGCTGAGGCAGAGAATTGCTTGAAACCAGGAGGCAGAGGTTGCAGTGAGCCAACATTGCGCCACTGCACTCCAGCTTGGGTGACAGAGCAAGACTCCATCTCTCAAAGAAAAAAAAAAGGAATAAGTAGAAAATAATCTCTTTAGGGCTATGTTAAAATGCTTTTTCCTCTTTATTCTCTTTAAAAATGGATCTTTGATATTATAAACTGGATGTCATAACTGTGTTCTTATTAGCAACCCTTTAAAATCTTAATTAAAAGTAGCACCTTTCTGAAAGTTGCATAATCTTTTCAAATTCTCCTGAATGTTCGGCAACTGCCACAAGGGCCACAACATTGGCCTGAAAAAAAAAAAAAGAATAAAGTTACAAACAATATACATTTAATATAAATTATAGAAAATTTTAAAGTTTTCTCTGCATTTTAGTTATCCTTGTTCAGCCATGCTTCATCAATACAATCAGAAGGGCTATCATTGAGTATTTACTATGTTTCAGACCTTATGTTCAGTGAATATAAATATTGCCTCATTTAATTTACAGAAACCTATAAAGTAGGCTATAGTCTACTGTATAGATCAGGAGACAGAGTTTTGGATGTCGAATAACTTGCCCAAGGTCATCAGGTCTATATATGTCCAAAGCCCACATTCCTAATTAAGCTGCCACAGTGAAAGTTACCTGTATGTAAAAATGCACTACAACCATTTCTGGCTGTATCATTTTTTGAGATGGCCACAAAATGCTAGTTACAATGAATTTCATAAACACTTCCAAAAAAATAATTTTTCTAAGCAAATCAAAACATCTCAGAAAACTTTAATAATATATCCCAGATCTCCAGAACCACATGAATTTAAAAACTGAAAGATGGACCAATTTGTTCCATAGGGCTGTTGAGCATGGTAGCTATAGGAACATGTTTTGAATTCAGACTAACTTGTCTCTATCAGTTCACTAGCATGTGTCTTTGGACCAGTTACTCATCTCTAGGCCTTAGATTCCTCATCTATAAAAATGGGGAATGATTGGCTATAAATTAGTAATTTCCTCAGAAGGCTATTGTGAAACATTGAATGAGGTAAAGTCGAGAAAGGCCTTAGCTCACTACCTGGCATGTAGCAAACACTTAATAAATGCTACTTAGGCTGGGAGCAGTGCCGCATGCCTATAATCCCAGCATTTTGGGAGCCCAAGGTGGGTAGATTGCTTGAGCTCAGAAGTTTGACACCAGCCTGGGCAATATAGTCAGATCTTGTCTCTATTTTAATTATAAATAATAAAAATTGGCTGGTCGTAGTGGGTCACGCCTGCAATCTCAGCACTTTGGGAGGTCGAGGTGGGCAGATCACCTCAGGTCAGGAGTTCAAGACCAGCCTGGCCAACATGGTGAAACCCTGTCTCTACTAAAAATACAAAAATTATCTGGGTGCAGTGACGTGTGCCTATAGTCCCAGCTACTCAGGAGGCTGAGGCAGGAGAATCACTTGAACCTTGGAGGCAGAGGTTGCAGTGAGCTAAGATCACACGACTGCACTCCAGCCTGGGCGACAGAGCGAGACTCTGTCTCAATAAATAAATAAATAAATAAATAAAATAATAAAAATAAAAAATGCTACTTACTATAAACTACTGAAACATCAAGGTAGTATATCTAAATTTCAAGCTGTTTTGGCTTGAAATGATAGTTAAAATAAAAAACCAAAAGAGCAATTACAAATATTGACTTACCTTCTTGGCTTTCTCCAACACATCATCCAAATCCTAAAACAAGCATAAGAAATCACCATTATTTTAGATGAATAAGCAGCTAATCTTGGACTGTATATGTCAATGTAGTTGTGGCATCACAAAAAATAACAATGATAGCAACTAATGGAGTGGTGGAAAACAAAGAGCCTACACTGACCCACTTCCTGTTTACTCTTACTATCAGTAAAGTCTGGCTACTGTTCCCAGCACTAAAACAGAAGCCTCTATTGTCAAATATACAGGGTATTTCTCTGTCCTCATCTTACTCTACTCCTCAGCAGCATTCGGAATCCCTCACTTGCTTACTCCTTCCTTCTTGAAATGCTTTCCACCCTTCACTTCTGCAATACCACTCTCTCATTGGTGGCTACTTGTCAGTCTCCTTGACTAGCTCCCCTTCCTCTTTCAGACTTCAAGAACATCTGCTCCTCTCTCTGCACTTGCCTTGAGTGATTTCACTTCCTCTCATGGTTTTATCATCATTATGCTGAGGCCCCCATTTTTTTTCTTTTTTTTGAGATGAAGTTTCACTCTTGTCTCCCAGCTGTAGTGCAATGGTGCGATCTCGGCTCATTGCCACCTCTGCCACCCGGGTTCAAGTGATTCTCCTGCTTCAGCCTCCAGAGTAGCTGGGATTACAGGTGACCGCCACCACACTCAGCTAAATTTTGTATTTTTAGTAGAGATGGTGTTTCACCATGTTGGCCAAGCTGGTCTTTAACTCCTGATCTCAGGTGACCCACCCACCTTGGCCTCCCAAAGTGCTGGGACTACAGGTGTGAGCCATCGAACCCAGCCTGAGTCCCCAATTTTTTTTTTTTTTTTTGAGATGGAGTCTCGCTCTGTCACCCAGGCTGGAGTGCAGTGTCACGATCTCGGCTCACTGCAAGCTCCGCCTCCCGGGTTCACACCATTCTCCTGCCTCAGCCTCCCAAGTAGCTGGGACTACAGGCACATGCTGCCATGCCCAGCTAATTTTTTTGTACTTTTAGTAGCGACAGGGTTTCACCATGTTAGCCAGGATGGTCTCGATCTCCTAACCTTATGATCTGCCCACCTCGGCCTCCCAAAGTGCTGAGATTACAGGCATGAGCCACTGCGCCCGGCCCCCAATTTTTATCTTTAGCTTGTAATTCTCTCCTGAGCCCATGACTCATGTTTAAAAATTATGACATCTTCATTTGGATGGGATTAGGTTTCCCAATATGCCCCAAACATAAATCTTTATTTTCTCCCCACAAACCTATTCCTTCTGCTGACCTCCCCACCTCCACCTCAGACCTTGGTCTTCCCTTATCTCAGTAAACCAGCACCACCATCTTCCCTATAGCACAAGCTAATAATCTGAGTCATCCTTGACTCCTCCCTTTCCCTTGCTATCCACATCCAATTCTTCAGTACTTACTGTGGATTCTCTCTCTAAAATGTATCTTGAATCCATGTATTCATCTCAAACTCACCTGCTATCATCATAGTACCAACAGCCAACATCTCTTGCCTATATACTGCAAAAGCCTCCTAACTAGTCTTGTAGCTTCCACTCTTCTCCTCCACCCATTTGCCATACAGCAGCAAAATGGTGTTAAAATGGATAGCATCATGCCTATCCATTTTTGTGTAATCCCAGGACTTTGGGAGGCCAAGGAGGGTTGATCACTTGAGGCCAGAAGTTCAAGACCAGCCTGGACAACATGGCAAAACTCTGTCTCTATTAAAAATACAAAAAATTAGCCAGGCGTGGTGGGACACACCTGTGATCCCAGCTACTTGGGAGGCTGAGACAGGAGAATTTTTTGAGCCCAGGAGGTGGAGGTTGCAATGACCTGAGATCATGCTATTGCATTTCAGCCTGAGGGACACAGCCAGACTCAATCTAAAAAAATAAAAAAATGAAAATAAATTTTAAAAAAGCCCTTTAATGAATCTGCATTGTGCTTCAAATGCAATCCAAATTCCTTACTGACCCACCTCATCTATCCCCTGCAAACCTCCCCAGTTTTGTTTCATGCCTTTCTCTTTCTAGCTCATCAGGCTCCACTTAGCTTTTTGGCAACTGAAATGTGCCAAATTCTAGCTTGTCTGGGGGCCTGCAACCTATCTGTTTCCCTAACCAGCATACACTCACCCCCTTGCTTGGGTGGCTCCTTGTCTTTTCAGCCTTAAGTGTCAGCTCCTGGGAGGATTTCCCCCTGAAATAAAACCCCCCTTAATCCTCTATTATTAGTCTCTAGTTTCCCACGTAATGGGTAAAACAGTTTGTAACTGATTTTACGTGTGTATTATTATTTTAATTGAGACGGGGTCTCACCACATTGCCCAGGCTGGTCTCAAACTCCTGGGCTCAAGCGATCCACCCACTTCGGCCTCTCATAGTGCTAGGATTACAAGTGTGAGCAACCACACTCGGCCATGTATTTTTGTTTGTTTGTTTGCCTCTCTCCCCCATTTGTGAATTTTTTTTTTTTTTTTTTTTTGAGACAGGGTCTCACTGTTACCCAGGCTGGAGTGCAGTGGCTTGATGTCAGCTCACTGCAACCTCCACCTCCTGGGCTCCAGCGATTCTCCCACCTCAGCCTCCCGAGTAGCTGGGACCACAGGCAAACGCCACAATCACCGGCTTTTTTTTTTTTTTTGTAGGGACGAGGTTTCACCATGTTGCCCAGGCTGGTCACGATCTCCTGGACACAGGAGATGCGCAGCGCCCGCCTCGGCCTCCCAAAGTGCTGGGATTACGGGCGTGAGCCCGCGCCCGACCTCTCCCCGATTTGAACGCGTTTCGAGGACCGCTTCCCACAAAGAGTGGCATCTCAGCCAGGAGGTGAGAGCCCCGAGGGGAAAAACAGGCCAGCCAAGGGGAGTGAGGGAACGATTCCAGGAACTCAGAAGAGCAAACAAAAGCCTTGTGGAGATAGCTTACCGCTACTGAATCAGGAAAAAAAAATCGGTATGTCTGAGGTTAAATAGGGAATAGGGAAATGAGGGGCAAGGTCATATGGCCATAAACAAGGGTCTGGGCGGGGGATATGGGGTTTCGTCCCAAGGGAGGAGAGCAAAGATAACACGAGGGGAAAGGACGGGGGCCTCCCTGCTCCCTCTGGTCCCGTATCGCCCTCACATACGCGGTCAAAGTCCGGGGCGGAGAGGTGGCAGTGACAGTCCACCAAGCCTACGCCAGCCGCTCGCATTGCGCCCCGGCGGCTGCCGCTTTAGACCGGCCAGCAGAGCCGGAGCCGGAACGTTTCAGCTGCAGCGTCCTGAGTTTCCAGCCGGATGCATGCTGGTTACACCAGTGTGAACCCGCTTTTCCGCTCCCAGAGTGCCCCGCCCACAGTTCCGACGAAAAATGGCGGGGTCTCCTGAGTTGGTGGTCCTTGACCCTCCATGGGACAAGGAGCTCGCGGCTGGCACAGAGAGCCAGGCCTTGGTCTCCGCCACTCCCCGAGAAGACTTTCGGGTGCGCTGCACCTCGAAGCGGGCTGTGACCGAAATGCTACAACTGTGCGGCCGCTTCGTGCAAAAGCTCGGGGACGCTCTGCCGGAGGAGATTCGGGAGCCCGCTCTGCGAGATGCGCAGTGGGTACGGGACCAGTTAGCCAGTTCTTTACTCATCATCCTCTTACCCAACACCCAGGATCTTAGGATTCAGAAAGATCCCACGCCAGGCCTTGGCAGAATTAACGGTGCCCCAGGCTACTGTAGAACCAGTTCGAGAAACGCTAGAGGAGAAAGAAATAGATGCTAATGTCAGCTGGGTCTTATTAATTACTTAGACCAGCGCTGTCCAGTGAAAATACAAGGCAAGCTAATCTTTATGTAGTTTTAAACTAAAAGTAAGAAATAGGTGAAGTTAATGGAAATAAGACATTTTGTTTAACCCAATAAATCCAAGGTATTTTAACATGTAATAATATCAAATGAATGAGATATTTTACATTCTTTTGTTCGTACTAAGCTTTTCAAATCTGGTGTGCTGCATTTACGGCACATCTTCGAACTAGTTACATTTAAGCGCTCAGTAACTACAAAGTGGCTAGTGGCTCACCTGTTGGACAATGCAGCCGCAGACAATGAGGAATTCTCCTGGAAAGGGTAATTCTGGAAGTCAGCCATTCACCCAAGCAGCATTTGATCTTTCCTTTTGCATGTTTTATTTATTTATTTATTTTATTTTATTTTTTTTTTTTGAGACAGAGTCTCGCTCTGTCGCCCAGGCTGGAGTGCAGTGGCGCGATCTCGGCTCACTGCAAGCTCCGCCTCCTGGGTTCACGCCATTCTCCTGCCTCAGCCTCCTGAGTAGCTGGGACTCCAGGCGCCTGCCACCACGCCCGGCTAATTTTTTTGTGTTTTTAGTAGAGACAGGGTTTCACCGTGTTAGCCAGCATGGTCTCGATCTCCTGACCTCGTGATCCGCCCGCCTTGGGCTCCCAAAGTGCTGGTATTACAGGCGTGAGCCACCTCGCCCGGCCTATTAACCTTTATTTTTACTGTTTGCACTGTGGTCATTCATAACTCACAAATGTGCGGTATTATGAGCTTTTAAATTTTTTCCGCTAATATAAGTAGATTGGTGCCTGTTATAAGGAAGCACACAATCCCTTTATTTCTTGTGTTCCCAAAAAACTACCACCTTCAGGGCTTTGCAAAAATATTTAAGAAAGGCTTGGGAAATGTGGTATAGAGGCAAATGTATGATCTTAGTAAAGTTTTCAACCAACACAATTTTTTTTAACCTATTTTAGTCTTGTAAAGAAAATGTTTTCACTCTAAAACAGGCAAAAGGGGTCGGGCGCGGTGGCTCACGCCTGTAATCCCAGCACTTTGGGAGGCCGAGGCGGGCGGATCACGAGGTCAGGAGATCGAGACCATCCTGGCTAACATGGTGAAACCCCGTCTCTACTAAAACAATAATAATAATAATACAAAAAATTAGCCGGCCATGGTGGCAGGCACCTGTAGTCCCAGCTACTCGGGAGGCTGAGGCAGGAGAATGGCGTGAACCCGGGAGGCGGAGCTTGCAGTGAGCCCAGATCTCGCCACTGCACTCCAGCCTGGGTGACAGAGCGAGACTCCATCTCAAAAAAAAAAGGTTCAGTGGAAGAATGAAGAAACACTTCCTGGGTTGTGACTCTGTATGTAGTTTTGTATATAGTGACTCTTACGTCATTCCCTCCTTGCAAGCAAGGCAAGAATAGGGATATATCTCAGGACGTTTTTAGTAGTTTTTTGGGAGAAGACTTTTGTTGTATAATCTTAGAATTTGTCTGATTCTAGGAAATGCTAAGGTATTTAAAACATTTAGGTGTCTTACAGAAAAAGAGGAACTTGGCTTAACCTATTATATCCTATTTAGTGGGACGATAAAGTGAATTATAAGATAAAGTTTACAGGGCTTAGACTACCACAGGAATTCACTTGTGTTTTATTTTAAATAAAGCAGAAGCTTTATTTTGTATCTCTGTTTAAAACTGCATATTAAGTAGCAGATTTTCTTTAAAAACAGTATTGGTAGCAGTCTGCAATGAATGTTACAAAGACAATATGTTTTCTCAGCAATTCTTGAAAGTAATTCTAGAAAATAATTTTAAAACATACATAGGCCGGGCGCGATGGCTTACGCCTGTAATCCCAGCACTTTGGGAGGCTGAGGCGGGCGGATCACCTGAGGTCAGGAGTTCCAGACCAGCCTGGCCAACACGGTGAAACCCTGTCTATACTAAAAATACAAAAATTAGCCGGGTGTGATGGCGCTTGCCTGTAATCCCAGCTATTCGGGAGACTGAGGCAGGAGAATCGCTTGAACCTGGGAAGCGGAGGTTGCAGTGAGCCAAGATTGCGCCATTGCACTCCAGCCTGGTTGACAAGAGTGAAACTCCATCTCAAAAAAAACAAAAAACAAACAAACAAAAAATAAAATAAGGATTTTACTTTATGAAATCTTTGAAATGTAGAATATGTACTTTAACTCATAATTATCAGTAATTTGGTTTATGTTATTTTTAATTATACAAAGGGTACAAAATATATGCTCATAAAAAAATTCAAACAGTAGCATAAAGCAAAATTCTTTGAGTTCCCCTTCCCCATCCCTCTTCCTTCTAGGACATAAGGTACTATTTTGGAGAGTACTTGGGGAGAGTAAACTTTCTATACCCCCTTTCTGTGGCTTTACCTCTTTCTCTCTGTTTATGTTTGTTTGTCTCCATTAATAATGTCATGCTGATGAATTGTTATTGACCTGCCTTTTTTGAAACCAAACATGTCTATTATTTGTTAGTGTTACGTAGAGCTTGTCTTCATCCTTTTTAGGTACTGCGTGGTATGAATATTGTCTATTTAACTCTTCTAATTTTGACTTTAGGTTTTTTCCCACAATTTTAAAAATTTCAAACAGTGCTGAAATGAACATTTCTAGCACATTCTCTTTAGTTTTTATGAGAGTAGTCCTTTAGGATGCATTGCTAGAAGTGAAATTGTTGGGTAATAGGAAATGTGTACTGCCGAATTCCTTTAGTCCATCATTTAAAAAAAATTTTGATGAAGTCCAATTTGTCTATTTTTTGTTTGTTTTTGTTTTTTGTTTTTTGGTTCTTTATCTTTTAATGTATTATGAACATTTTCAACCTTACAAAAAATTAGTTTAGTACAGTGGACACCCATATATCCACCACCAAACTCAACAGTTGTCAAAATTTTGTTACAGTTGCTTCTCCCTCTGTCTCCCAGGCTGGAGTACAGTGGCAATCATAGCTCACTGTATTCTCAAACCACTGGGCTCAAGTAATCCTCTAGCCTCAGCCTTTCAAGTAGCCGGGACTACAGGCATGTGCCACTGTGCCTGGCTAATTTTTAAATTTTTTAGTAGAGAAGGTTGTCTCAGTGTGTTGCCTAGGCTGGTCTGGAACTGGCCTCAAGCAATCCTCTTGCCTTGGCTTCCCAAAGTGATGGGATTATAGGCGTGAGCCACTGCACCTGGCCTACGTTTGCTATTTTAAAGCATATCTTAGATCTCATGTCATTTCATCGCTACATAAGTGTTCATCTCTCAAAAATACAGCCCTTTATAAAATATAATTTTATTTTTAAGCATGTATGTTTTCCCTCTTGTTAACATCAACAGTCATTCAGCAGCATATATAGTACTTATACCCCTGAGATTCAACTGAGCCTAAATTTGTTAGATTTTATTTTTTCTTTCATTCTAGGAGTACTTTTTTTTGTTTGTTTATAAGAATATTCCAAAATTTTAAATCAGATTTTCTCTTGGGTAGCATAATGGCTATGAGACCCAAAATGTAGGTAGAATCAATGATTGAAGTGGAATCTTCATTGAAAAGAATAGATATACTAATTAGCTATTCTGCTACTTTTATTTCCTCTGTCACAAATCTGGAAGTATTATTTTGCTAAAACGTTTGAATTTAGTATTTAAAATTATTTTTAGTGACTTGACTACTGTGAATTTATTGCAGACTTTTGAATCAGCTGTGCAAGAGAATATCAGCATTAATGGGCAAGCATGGCAGGAAGCTTCAGATAATTGTTTTATGGGTATGTGACTTTTTCCTTCCATTATTAATTTCTGGGTTATTTTTGCAGCTAATTTTGTTTTGAATGCTGTTTTTTAATCTCCATATTTAGTGTCATTTATTTTCAAGAAGTTGTTTACTAGGGGAGTAATAAAGAACTGAGATTATGACTTCAATAGTCTTCTTTGTCAATAGTTTATTGGAAAATACTGTAGAGCTATCTCCAGATGACAAAAGAGGCCCAGGGAATTTCTGTAATTATTTACAAAGCAAGTTGTATTTTTGTAAGTGATCTCTAGAGTGAATAGTGAAGTACCCTTAAAAGTGTGAAGTTATTATTAATTATACAAGTACCGTGTAAAGGATGAGGTTACATCTTTGTAGAAGGTTCCTTAAAAAGACAATTTTTTTTTTTTTTTTGAGATGAAGTCTCACTGTCACCCAAGCTGGAGTGCAATGACACAGTCTCAGTTCACTGCAACCTCTGTCTCCCAGGTTAAAGTGATTCTTGTGCCTCAGCCTCCCTAGTTGCTGGGATTACAGGCATGTGGCCACCACGCCTGGCTAACTTGTATTTTTGGTAGAGGACAGGGTTTCATCATGTTGCCCAGGCTGGTCTCAAACTCCTAGCCTCAATCTCCTAAAGTGCTGGTATTACATATGTGAGCCACTGCTCCTGACCTTGTTCTCAACTCTTGGCTCATAGTAGGCACCTATGAAATATGTTAAATTAATGAATAATTCTTTCCTGTTCAATTTTTCTTTTCTTTCTTTTTAGACAGAGTTTCACTCTTACCTAGGCTGGAGTGCAGTGGCGCGATCTCAGCTCACTGCAACCTCCACCTCCTAGGTTCAAGCAGTTCTCATGCCTCAGCCTCCCAAGTAGCTGGAATCACAGGTGCTTGCCACCACGCCTGGCTCATTTTTGTATTTTTAACAGAGATGGGGTTTTACCATGTTGGCCAGGCTGGTCTCGAACTCTCAAACTCAGGTGATCTGCCTGCCTTGGCCTCCCAAAGTGTTGGGATTACAGGCCTGTGCCTGGCTTCTGTTCAAATTTTGTGATACATTTTAATTGTAGCTTTATCACTAGGTAGTGCTAAGAAAGCATGTTCCTCTCTACAAAAAAGATTTACCTGGGAGACTTTTCTTTTTTTTTTTTTTAACTAATTGTGAAATAGTACATTATTTTCTTCAGGCTAATTATTTAACTTTTTTAATGGATAAATGAAAATTTAGGGAGGGCTGCTTATATAAATAATTATTCAAAGTAAGAAATAACTATTATTTCTTGCCCTCAAAAGAAGGGTACTTTCACAATGTATACTACTGGGTGATGAGTGCACTAAAATCTCAGACTTCACCACTGTACTATTCATCCATGTAACCAAATACCACTTGTACCCCAAAAGCTATTGAAAATCAATCTGTGTGTGTCTCTCTCTCTATCTATCTATCTAGGAAAGAAGGAGGGAGGAAAGGAAAGAAAAGAAGGAAAGGAAGGGAGGGAGAATGAATGGGAAGGAAAGGGAAAGAAAGAAGGAAGGAAAGAAAGAGAAAAAGGAAAAAAAGGGTGCCCTCAAAAGAACTAATTTAGTGGGATTCAATTAATATTTGTGACATGAATGAAAGACTATACCTGATATACTTGATTATCTGATATGTATATACCGAAACATATCAGCAATTTCTCAAAATGTTTCAAAAATTATGTTTCAGATGTTAGATTTCTTCCTAATAAAGCTTCTGATCAATAAAATAAATAGGTCCATTTCTAGCTTAGACTTTGACACAACAGAGCAATATGAGGACCAGTTAAGCTAAGAACTTAGCTCTTTAGTATTTGTAACTACTTAGTATTTTTACTCTTTAAAATGATTTTCAAAATAAAGTTAGATGGATCACCTACATTCCTTTCATCTAGGGTGCTTCATTTCTGGGCCCCATCTCAGACTTACTGAATCAAAATTCTGTACTCCTGAAAACCAAACACCGCATGTTCTCACTCATAGGTGGGAATTGAACAATGGGAACACTTGGAAACAGGTTGGGGAACATCACACACTGGAGCCTGTTGTGGGGTCGGGGGAGTGGGGAGGGATAGCATTAGGAGATATATCTAATGTAAATGACGAGTTAATGGGTGCAGCACACCGACATGGCACATGTATACATATGTAACACACCTGCACATTGTGTACATGTACCCTAGAACTTAAAGTATTAAAAAAAAAATCTGTACTCCTAACATACTCGTTAGGTGATTCTTCTAACATTTGAGAATCACTGTTTTAAAACATGAAAAAGCATATGATAAAGTAGAGTTAGCTAAATGAAAGAAACTCTAAACTCACTGTATCTTTCAGTTTTTCCTACCATCAATCCAGTTGAGTCCTATTTCAGATCTAGTTACTCCACTCACTGCTACTGTCATAGCTTTGGGTCAGTTCATAATAAGTCAAAACTTCTTAGCATCCCTGATATTAAATACCCTTTACAGCCTGGTTCTTATATATTTTATCATCCATTTCTCCTTTACTTTATTCTGTAGCCATTTAGAACTTTTCTCAGGTCTCCAAAGACTAGGATCTTGCAAATACTGTTTCCACTGCCTAAAATGCTTCTCCCTATTCCTTTTTTCCCGTACCACTTTTTATCCATTGGACTTATACTTCTATTTCAAGCTCAAATGTTACTTCTTTAAAGTCTTATATTTCACAGTCAGTCAGTTTTCCATTGTTCTGTGTCCTGATGGCATTTTGCTCATACCTCTATTGCACTTATCAGGTTGCCTTGCAATTGTCTGTTTCTTTCAGCAAACTGTGAACTCTTAGAGAGTAGGAATCATGTTGTGCTCATCTTTGTATTTCTCTTGTTTAGGCCTGGCTTCTTATAGATGCTCAATAATTGATTGTTCAATGCGTAAATAAATTAATCACCAAAGTGGGGGCATTCATTAACTTGCCATATTTGTTTTCCTTCATTATTTTGTGTTTTCTAAATTTAGTTTATAGCACATTTCCATACAGAATGTAAACAATGAGTTTTAGGGAACTTTTTATATATACATTTTTTTTTCTCAAATAGATTCTGACATCAAAGTACTTGAAGATCAGTTTGATGAAATCATAGTAGATATAGCCACAAAACGTAAGCAGTATCCCAGAAAGATCCTGGAATGTGTCATCAAAACCATAAAAGCAAAACAAGAAATTCTGGTAAGATGATTTGCCTTTAAAATGTTATAGTATATTTTACCACAATAAAAACATTAAAATATAAGGCTCTACGTGGAGATAAGTGACATTTTGTTGTCTTTTTCTTTCCTGCCTCAATTAGTATTGTTTGTCTCTTGTAAGACTTTACTCTTCTAAGTTGTACTATGACATAGTATAGTCATACTATACTGTGTTTTGAACACACTGGTTCAAAAATGAAAAAAATGAAAGTTATAGTGAGTGGTTAAAATTGAAATTGGTGATGGAAGACTGACAATGACTTTATGATTCTGAGACAAGGATGGAAAAAGAAGCTTTTCTTTTAACACTTTTCTTTCTGTTTGTTGTTTTTTTTTGGCATATATTTGTATGTTTGTATATTTTGGAAGACCATTTAGTTAAATTGATGATGAAGATTGTTTTAGTACCTGTTCATAACACTGAAATTTGCTTTATGAATTGGGTGTAATTTGTTTTGCTGCAAAAATCATGAACATCTGGGTGACAAGACCAGGAATTCAGCTCCTTCAGCACGAGCTTTTTAGACAAGCAGAGCCGTAGACTTCCTTCTTATAATTACTATAGATATCAATGACCAACCATATCACACCCTCATCTTTTCAGATTTATTAGGACTAGAATAAATAAAAAATAGGAAATCCACAAGAAAATTGGACCCAAATCTTCCCTTGGTGGGGAGGGGAGGTTTGCTGGGAATAGCATTGTCCCTCCAGTGAGGTACATGTTGTGTTTAGATTGTGCTATACTATTGCCTTTAGTTTTTGAAATTAGTACATAAATGTTCACATATAAATCTTCTAGTTGCCTCAGTTTCAGGATTGTTTCAGGTCATTATATGCCCGGCTTAATATTGTATCTAAAACATTTTAGTTATTCTGTGAAAAACAGTATTCATGAGCAGAATTTTTAATTTTCTTTATAGCAGTTCTCAAATACCGCATTCCATCACTTCCCCCACCCCTCCCACTTGAAAGTTTTTTTCAGGAAAAACATTGAAAGTGTATTTTTCAGTGTTGCCCTTGTTACTGCCCCACTACCCCTAAACCCCCAAAACTAGTAATCAATATTGCAGAAAAGAAAGATGGCTGGCCTAGGTGAGGTACTGCTGTGGTAGTTTAAAAAGTAATGCAAAATAGATAAGGTGAGGATACCAAAGACCTTTTCAAAATTTTTTCCTGCCCTGCCCTGCCCTGCGTCTTTCCTCCCTTCTTCCCTCCTTGTTGCTCAGACTGGTCTCAGACTCCTGAGCAAAAGACATTCTCCTGCCTGGGCCTCCCAAAGTGCTGCAATTACAAGTGTGAGTCACCACAGCTGGCTGAAGACCTTTTTTTCTTCTTGTTTTCTTTCTTTTAACCTTTTTGGCTTCTGCTGGCTTTGGGCAAGAATAAGGAAGAGCAATTTCCTCTTTCTTTTTGCCTGCATTGTAGATTCTGTGCCAGTAATTCTGCTACTATAATTTCAGTGTGTCGCAGGATATATAGGCTTAGTGTGGTGGTAATGTAGCCTCGCCACCTTTTAGAACTGAGTTTTCATGGAAATATGCATTTTGAGTTCTAAACACTTGTCCTGAATGAACTTTTGAAACACAGTCCCTTCATAATTGGAGACTACCCTGTACTTTAAACATAAAATTCAGTTTCTATGCTTTTAATTTGCTTGATTGCTTTTTCTGATTATACTTTTTTATGGTGCCACTTCTTAGTATATGCAGCAGGTGGCAGTACTGTAAAAGACATAATTCAGACTTAGTTTGGTTTTACCTTCTCACCTCCTCTTCCCTACAGACAGTAGGATTTAATTTTTTTTCCTCAAAAGAATGGTACTGACTCTATAGTATATCTCCCATATTAGCTGAAAGAGATGTTTATATGAAGCATTAAGTGATTAAATCTGTTTTAATTTATGTTATGTTTAGAAGCAGTACCACCCTGTTGTACATCCACTGGACCTAAAATATGACCCTGATCCAGGTGAGTCAGTATCCATTTGTGGTAAAAATGAAGCATCTGCTTATAATTTTTATGGGTTTCTGATATTCTTCTAAAAGGGTCAGCATCAAGGATATTCTCCCTTTGATGCTTTAACTTCCTACCAGTCATTCATGTTTAGCATTTCATCTAGAATTAAGAGGACTAGCTTTACACCCATTGACTCAGAATTCCAGGGGTGTTACCCCGGAATCTGAGCTTTTATAAAGTTCTTGCCTGACCCAGACTATTATAACACATACCCATCTCTAACTTCTAATACCCTCCTATCTCTGTCATTGTACTATCTATTCTTTGCATTACAGCCAAAGCTATACTATTAAAGCATTCTCTCATAGTGTCACACCTGGTGCAGTAACCATCATTGGTTTCTCATTATTTCTAAAATCAAATAAAAATATATTGAATTTAAGAAGAAATAAGTATACTCATTATGCCTTTGAACTCAGTTTTGTTTCCATTTATATGTATCCCATACAACAGGGAGAAATAAACTTGACACAAACAAATTTATGTAAATCCAGCAGCAGAACTAGCATTGCTAAAAATGTGGATTATGTATATTTTCAAATGACTGTATTCTCACATTTAAAAATTTATAACAGTTTTTCTAAGAGTCCTTTTGGAATTTCCTTTTGGCACTTAAAATGACATTTCTAAACTGTTAGGATAAAACAGTTAAATCCCGGATTTATTTATATGGGATATTTATACTTAAAGCTTTGAGTACTTTGTTGAATTCTGAACTACTCTTTAATATGTTCCTCCACCTTCCCCAAATATCCTAAGCTAATGGGATAAACTGAGAGGGGGGGAAGTATAAGCATAAAGCTACTCTGAAGTTGACTAAAATCACATCACTTATTGTGTTTGACATTAAAAATTGACCTAGGACCTAACACTCCTCAGTTTTCATGGTTCACTAAAAAGGGGTAGTTGCCAATATGCAGTGGTTGACATATACTTGTTTTGGTTTTGAATAACAAAAAAACAGTAATTGAAACTTGTGGTATTATGATATACTCAAGTATTACTTTTTAGATACAGTTAATTTCCCTCTAAAGAAACTTGGTTACCGTTTTATCGTAGGGAAAACACACTTAGTTAATGACCCTTTGAAATGTGATTTTACTTTCACTGTTCTGATTATGTAGTATTAGTGGAAGAATCTTCTGTATCATATGATTCAGACTTCAAAAGTAAGCAAAAGAATTAGAATCTGTCTTTTGGATAAATTTTGAGTTTTTTCATTATGCATTTTCATAATGTTAACAAGCTTAGAATAGCATCAGTTCCTTAAGGAGAGCAAAATTAGCCTACAGTTATTAGCTTTATATCTTTGGCCAAGTCACCTGACTTCTTCAAGCATCAGTTTCATTATTAGTAAAATGACGAATTCTGGATTTGCCGCCTGATGCTTTAGGCGTGAATTCCAGCTCTGCACTAAATATTACAGAATGTCTTGCCTACTTATCTAGGTGGTAGTATAACCAAGCCACATAAGGGGCTGTATAAACTATATAACCAAAACAATACATGACTAGTAGTTTATAAGGATATATTGTATAATAATAACCCTATTATAAATTGCATCCCATTTATAATAGTATACATTATAGTATTGTATACCTTATAATCTACCGAACTGGTAGAATCATATGAAACTGATTAAAATGGCTTAGTAAGAAAGTGGAAAGCATAAATTTCTATGGGCCTTAAAAGTCTGAATCAGCAGCATAGGAAAACTTTTGTGGGAACCTCTTGAAAGTTTTTTTTCCTTTATTGTAATATTAAGTGATATAAAATGTCTTTGAAAACTGACACTTTTTTTTTTTTCCTTTTTTTTTTTTTTTATTGATCATTCTTGGGTGTTTCTCACAGAGGGGGATTTGGCAGGGTCATAGGACAATAGTGGAGGGAAGGTCAGCAGATAAACAAGTGAACAAAGGTCTCTGGTTTTCCTAGGCAGAGGACCCTGCGGCCTTCCGCAGTGTTTGTGTCCCTGGGTACTTGAGATTAGGGAGTGGTGATGACTCTCAACGAGCACGCTGCCTTCAAGCATCTGTTTAACAAAGCACATCTTGCACCACCCTTAATCCATTTAACCCTGAGTGGACACAGCACATGTTTCAGAGAGCACAGGGTTGGGGGTAAGGTCACAGATCAACAGGATCCCAAGGCCGAAGAATTTTTCTTAGTACAGAACAAAATGAAAAGTTTCCCATGTCTACTTCTTTCTACACAGACACGGCAACCATCCGATTTCTCAATCTTTTCCCCACCTTTCCCCCCTTTCTATTCCACAAAACCGCCATTGTCATCATGGCCCGTTCTCAATGAGCTGTTGGGTACACCTCCCAGACGGGGTGGCGGCCGGGCAGAGGGGCTCCTCACTTCCCAGTAGGGGCGGCCGGGCAGAGGCGCCCCTCACCTCCCGGACTGGGTGGCTGTTCGGGCGGGGGGCTGACCCCCCCACCTCCCTCCCGGACGGGGCGGCTGGTCGGGCGGGGGGCTGACCCCCCCACCTCCCTCCCGGACGGGGCGGCTGGCCGGGCGGGGGGCTGACCCCCCCACCTCCCTCCCGGACGGGGCGGCTGGCTGGGCGGGGGGCTGACCCCCCCACCTCCCTCCCGGATGGGGCGGCTGGCCGGGCAGTGGGGCTCCTCACTTCCCAGTAGGGGCGGCCAGGCAGAGGCGCCCCTCACCTCCCAGATGGGGCAGCTGACCGGGCGGGGGGCTGACCCCCCCACCTCCCTCCCGGACGGGGTGGCTGGCCGGGTGGGGGGCTGACACCCCCACCTCCCTCCCGGACGGGGCGGCTGGCTGGGCGGGGGGCTGACCCCCCCACCTCCCTCCCGGACGGGGCGGCTGGCCGTGCAGAGGGGCTCCTCACTTCCCAGTAGGGGCGGCCGGGCAGAGGCGCCCCTCACCTCCCGGACGGGGCGGCTGGCCGGGCGGGGGGCTGACCCCCCCACCTCCCTCTGAGATGGGGCGGCTGGCCGGGAGGGGGGCTGACCCCCCCACCTCCCTCCCGGACGGGGCGGCTGGCTGGGCGGGGGGCTGACCCCCACCTCCCTCCGAGACGGGGCGGCTGGCCGGGAGGGGGGCTGACCCCACCCCCCACCTCCCTCCCAGACGGGGCGGCTGGCCGGGCGGAGACGCTCCTCACTTCCCAGACGGTGTGGTTGCCGGGCGGAGGGGCTCCTCATTTCTCAGATGGGGCGGTTGCCAGGCGGAGGGTCTCCTCACTTCTCAGACGGGGCGGCCGGGCAGAGACGCTCCTCACTTCCTAGATGGGGTCGTGGCCGGGCAGAGGCGCTCCCCACATCTCAGACGATGGGCGGCCGGGCAGAGACGCTCCTCACTTCCTAGATGGGATGGCGGCCGGGAAGAGGCGCTCCTCACTTCCTAGATGGGATGGCGGCTGGGCAGAGACGCTCCTCACTTTCCAGACTGGGCAGCCGGGCAGAGGGGCTCCTCACATCCCAGACGATAGGCGGCCAGGCAGAGACGCTCCTCACTTCCCAGACGGGGTGGCGGCCGGGCAGAGGCTGCAATCTCGGCACTTTGGGAGGCCAAGGCAGGCTGCTGGGAGGTGGAGGTTGTAGCGAGCCGAGATCACGCCACTGCACTCCAGCCTGGGCACCATTGAGCACTGAGTGAACGAGACTCCGTCTGCAATCCCGGCACCTCGGGAGGCCGAGGCTGGCAGATCACTCGCGGTTAGGAGCTGGAGACCAGCCCGGCCAACACAGTGAAACCCCGTCTCCACCAAAAAAATACGAAAACCAGTCAGGCGTGGCGGCGCGCGCCTGCAATCGCAGGCACTCAGCAGGCTGAGGCAGGAGAATCAGGCAGGGAGGTTGCAGTGAGCCGAGATGGCAGCAGTACAGTCCAGCTTCGGCTCGGCATCAGAGGGAGACCGTGGGGAGAGGGGAGAGAGAGGAGAGAGGAGAGAGCGAAAACTGACGCTTTTAAAGAGGGTTGTCTGTTTTTCAAAACTAGGCAGTGTGTATAACATTGATTCAACTTAGTTACATTATGAACTTTGGGGGATACAAAGATAAAGCAGACAGATTCTCCCCATAAAGAGCTTATGTCTGAGTAGGAGAAATAAAAGATGAACATAAAACAGGATTCTTTCATGCCCCCTAACTGGTTCCTTTGCCACCTTTCCCTGTTTGAGTAAGTGGCATCTATGCCTACATGTTGCTTTAGCTGAAGTTAACCTTGATTCCTTCTTCTGTCAAGCTCCTCATACCCAGTCCATCAATAAGTCCCATAAATTGTTCTTAATATAATCTCACATTCGTTGACTTCTCTTCATTTTGTTATTGTCATCTCTATTCTAGGTTACCATCACTCTAGCCAGGATTTCTACAAATGCTCTCTTAGAAGGTCTTCTTGTTTCACTCTTGCTCTCTTCCATTTCATTCTGCATACATAGGGCAGTGTGATTATTTTATTCTTCGAAATATTTCACATATTTGAAAGAAATATAGAAAATAAAGAATGCAACATAATGAACATCTCTGTTCCCACCACCCATATTTAAGTGTTAATCACATTTTGTCATACTTGTTTCAGACCTTTTTAGGAACTAAAATGTTCAGATATAGTTGAAACTTTCTTTGTGTCTTCCACTATTCCATTCCACTCCCTCTCTTACCTCAGAAGTATAACCAGGATCCTCAAGCTGTGTAAATCCTTGCTATTCATGTTTTTATACTTAATTTATAGATACATATCCATAAACAATGTATGGGATTTAAGTTTTTATATAAATTGTATCATACTGATCATATCATTTTGTAACTTTTTTCTCCATCAACGTTGTGTACACGCAGAGCTCTCTATTCATTTAGCTATTGTATATAGTATTCTAGTTTATGAATATTCCACTATCCATTCCTTTACAGGGGGACTAACTTAGATTGTTCCTTTTTTTCTTGACATCTTGTTCTAGGTTCCTTTTTTTTTTTGAGGCAGGCTGAAGCCACCCAGGCTGAACTGCAGTGGTATGATCATGGCTCATTGCCACCTCAATCTCTTGGGCTCAAGTGATCTTCCAGCCTCAACCTCCTGAGTAGCTGGGACTTCAGGCATGTGTCACCATGCCTGGCTAGTTAAAAAATTTTTTTTTGTAGCGATGGAGTCCCACTATGTTACCCAGGCTGGTCTGGAACTCCTGGGCTCAAGTGCTTCTCCTGCCTTGGCCTCCAAAAGTGCTAGGATTACAGGCATGAGCTACTGCACCAGCCTAGGTTGTTTTTGTTTTTGTTTTTTTTTTTTTAGTCTTTTCAGAGAGTCAGCTTTTAGTTTTGTTGCCTTCTCTAATTTTTTTGTTTGTTTGTTTTCTGGTTCCTTGATTTCTAATCTTTATTATGATCCTCCTGTTTTTGTGAGGTTCCCGTTATTTTTAGCTTCTTGAATTGAGCACTTAATTCATTTGTTTGTCTTATTTTTTAATAAATTCATTTAAGGCTACACATTTATCTCTAAGTCCTGATTTAGCTACATACCACAAGCATTGACATGTAGAACTTTCATAGTTCAGCTCTATTTTTTAGTTTCCAAATACTATATAGAAGTTTTTGTTGTTGTTGGTTTTTTTTGTTGTTGTTGTTGTTGTTTTGTTTTGTTTTGTTTTACCGTTTTCCTTTTATTGCCTTCCATTGTGTTGAGTGAATTTTCTTTTTCCTCTTATTTTTCTCTTTCTCAGTTTGGAAACTGTATACTGTGTTTCTGTTCCATTTGTGTTTCCTATAAATTTTATTTAATTTTAATTTTTATTTTATTGAGACATAGTCTCGCTCTGTCACCCAGGCTGTAGTACAGTGGTGCAATTACAGCCTCACTGCAGTCTTGACCTCCCAGGCTCAAGCAGTCCTCCCACCTCAGCCTCTCAAGTAGCTGGGACTATAGGTGCAAGCCACCATGCCCAGCTAATTTATTTTATTTATTATTATTATTATTTATTATTTTTTTTTGAGACGGAGTTTCTCTCTTGTTGCCCAGGCTGGAGTGCAATGGCGCGATCTTGGTTCACTGCACTGTCCGCCTCCTGGGTTCAAGCGATTCTCCTGCCTCAGCCTCCCAAGTAGCTGGGATTATAGGCATGTGCCACCACACCCAGCTAATTTTGTGTTTTAAGTAGATACAGGGATTCACCATGTTGGTCAGGCTGGTCTTGAACTCCTGACCTCAATTTTCCTTATTGTTAAAAAACACAATTTACGGGCTGGGCGCAGTGGCTCACGCCTGTAATCCCAGCACTTTGGGAGGCCGAGGTGGGCGGATCACGAGCTCAGGAGATTGAGACCATGGTGAAACCCCGTCTCTACTAAAAATACGAAAAATTAGCCGGGCGCAGTGGTGGGCGCCTGTAGTCCCAGCTACTTGGGAGGCTGAGGCAGAAGAATGGCGTGAACCTGGGAGGCGGAGCTGTCAGTGAGCCGAGATCGCGCCACTGCACTCCAGCCTGGGCGACAGAGTGAGACTCCGTCTCAAAAAAAACAAAAAAAAACCACCAATTTATGGTTACTACTTTTTTTGTACTCAATGATTAATTACATTTATGAATCAAAATTCCCAAATTTTGTAAGTTGTTTCTTGAATTTTATACCTTTTTTTCTGTGTTCACTTTTATTCTTGCTGAAGTGCCTCTGTAGATACTTTAAAAGTCTGTGGGTAGTAAACTCCCTTAGTTTTTCTTTCATCCTTGGTATTGAGTTTTGTTTTGTTTTTTTTTTCTGGTAGAGGTGGGGTCTTTCTATATTGCCTAGGCTGGTCTCTAACTCCTGGCCTCAAGTGATCCTCCTGCCTTGGCCTCCCAAAGTGCTGACATTGCAGGCTTTTGAAATTTGTTTTATTTACTCTCATTCATTATACTGAATCTATTACATCATTATCTTTGACACTCTTTATAAATGGCTTTATCAAGATATAATTCATATACCATACAGTTCACCCACTTAAGGTGTACAACTCAGTGGCTTTAGTTTATTCACAGAGTTATGCAACATCATGATAATCAATTTTAAAAATGGTTTATTATTCTGAAAAGAAACCCAACACTCCTTAGCCATTATTTCCAGTCTCTCATCTTGCTTCCCTGGTCCTAGGCGGCCACTAATGTACTTTCTATCTCTATAGACCTGACTATTCTGGACATTTCATATAAATTGAATCATGTGGTATGTGGTCCCTTGTGATCAGCTTCTTTCAATTAGCATAATGCTTTCAAAGTTCATTTATGTTGTAGTATGTATCAGTACTTCATTTCTTTTTATTGCAAAATAATATTCCATTGTATGGACATATACTATGTATTTTATATATTTATATATTCATGAGTATACAGACTTTTTAAAAAAACTTTTCTTCTTGTCACTTGTTAACACTAGAATGTACAGACATTTTACTCAATGACATTTTACTCATTTTGGCTACTACGAATGATGCTGCTGTGAACATTCATGTACAAGTTCCTGTACGGATATGTTTCCAGTTCTCCAGAGTATGTATACCCACAAATGGAACTGCTGAGTCATGTGGCAACTCTTTATGTAGCTTTTGAGGAACTGCCAGACTGTTTTCTAAAGTGCCTGCACCATTTACATTCCTCCCTCAGTGTGTAGGGGTTCCAGTTCTTTATGCCCTCACCAACTCTTGTTACTGTCTGCTCTTTTATCAACCTAGTAGGTATAAAGTGGTATCTTATTGTGATTTTAAATTGAATTTCTGTAATGGCTAACAATGTTGAGCATCGTTTCATGTGCTTATTGGCCATCTGTATATCTTCTTTGGAGAAGTATCTATTCAGATCCTTTGTTTTTTGAGGGAGGTATTTGTCTTTTTATTGTTGAGTTATACTGGTTCTTTATGTATTCTGGACGCTAGTCCCTTATCAGATATATGATTTGCAGATATTTTCTCTCATTCTCACTTTCCTTAAATTTTTTTTAAATTGGTACATAATATTTGTACATATTTATGGGGTACATGTGATATTTTGATACATATATACAATGTGTAATGATCAAAACAGGTATTTAAGATATCCATTACCTTAAATATTTATTGTTTCTTTGTGCTGGGAACATTTCAGATCTTCTCTTCTAGCTATTTTGAAATATATGACATATTATTTTTAATCATTGTCACCTTACTGTGCTATCAAGCACTGGGTCTTATTCTTCTATCTAACTGTATGTCTTTACCCAAATAATTCTTTTTTAAACCCCTGCCCCACCCCCAACTAACTTCTCTGCATCCTCTCCATACTCCCTTCCCCGCTCCGCACATACCCTTCCCAGCCTCTGGTAACTATCATTCTACTCTCTACCTCCATGAGATCAATTTTTTTAGTTCTCACATGTGAGTGAGAACATGAGATTTTTTTTTTTTCTTTTTGTCTTTCTGTCCCTGGCTTATTTCACTTAACCTAATGCCAGTTCCATCCTTGTTGCTGCAAATGACCGGATTTTCTTTTTTATGATGGAATAGTATTCCATTGTGTATATACACCACTTTTCTTTATTCATTCATCTGTTGATGGACACTTAGGTTGATTCCGTATCTAGGCTATTGTGAATAGTGCTGTAATAAAAATGGGGATGTGGATATTGCCTAGATATACTGATTTTGTTTCCTTTGGATGAATACCCAGTGGCAGGAATGGTGGAGCATATGGTAATTCTATTTTTAGTTTTTTTTTGAGGAACCTCCATATTGTTTTCCATTGTAGCTATACTAATTTACATTCTGACCAACAATGTCTAAAAGTTCCCTTTTCTTCACATCCTCACCAGCATTTGTTATTTTTTATCTTTTTGATAGTAGTCATATCTTAACTGGGGTAAGTTGATAACTCATTGTGATTTTGATTTGCATTTCCCTGATGTTTAGTTATGTTGAGCATCTTTTCATATATCTTTTGGCTATTTGCATGTCTTCTTTTGAGAAATGTCTATTCAGATCCTTTACCTTCTTTTTAACAGGATTTTTTTTTCTTTGCTGTTGAGTTATTTGAGCTTCTTGTGTATATTGGATACTAGTCCCCCATTGGATGAATAGTTTGCATATAGTTTCTCCCATTCAACAGGTGTCTCATTACTCTGTTGATTGTTTCCTTTGCTGTGCAGAAACTTTTTAGTTTGATGTAATCCCATTTGTCTGTTTTTGTTCCCTGTGCTTTTGAGGTCCTAGCCGTAAAATCTTTGCCTGGATGTCCTAGAGTGTTTTTCCTATGTTTCCCTATAGTAGTTTTATAGTTTTGGGTATTATGTTTAAGTCATTAATCCGTCTTGAGCTGATTTTTCTATGATGAAAGATAGGAGTCTAGTTTTATTCTTGTGCATATGGATATCCAATTTTCCCAGCACCATTTATTGAAGAGGGTGTCCTTTCCCCATTGTGTGTTCTTGGTGCTTTTGTTGAAAATCAGTGGCTATAAATACCTAGATTTCCATGCATCTGTTCTGTTCCACTGGTCCATGTCTTTTTAAATACCAATATCATGTTATTTTGGTTACTGTAGCTTTGTAGTATATTTTGAAGTGAGGTAGTATGATGTTTCCAGCTTTATTATTTTGGTTCAGTATTGCTTTGGCTATTCGGACTCTTGTGGTTTTGTACTAATTTTAGGGTTTCTTTCTTTCTTTTTTTCTTTTTTTGAGACAATGTCTCACTCTGTCACTCAGGCTTGAGTGCAGTGGTGCAGTCTCAGCTCACTGCAACCTTGGCCTCCCGAGTTCAAGTGATTCTTGTGCCTCAGCCTCCCAAGTAGCTGGGATTACAGGTGCACACTACCACACCCAGCTAATTTTTATTTATTTATTTATTTATTTTTGTTTTTTGGTAGAAACAAGAGTTTCACCAGGTAGGCTGGTCTTGAACTCCTGACCTCAAATGATCCACCTGCCTCAGCCTCCCAAAGTGCTAGGGTTACAGGTGTGAGCCACTGTACCTGGCCTAGGATTGCTTTCTCTATTTCTGTGAGGAATGTTATTGGTATTTTGGTAGGAATTACATTGTATTCGTAGATTGCTTTGGGTATTATGGTTATTTTATAATGTTAATTCTTCTGATTTGTGCACAAGGGATGTCTTTCTATTTGTATCCTGTACTAGTCTGTTTTCATGCTGCTGACAAAGACATACCTGACACTGGGTAATTTATAAAGTAAGAGTGGTTTAATGGACTCACAGTTCAACATGCCTGAGGAGGCCTCACAATCATGGCAGAAGACAAACGGCACTTCTTAAATGGCGGTGGCAAGAGAGAATCAGAGAGCCAAACTAAAGGGGTTTTCCCTTATAAAACCATTGGATCTCATGAGAATTTATTCACTGTTACAAGAGCAGTATGGAGGAAACCGCCCCCATGATTCAATTATCTCCCACCAGGTCCCTCCTGTAATATGTGGGAATTATGGGAGCTACAATTCAAGATGAGATTTGGGTGGGGACACAGCCAAACTATATCATATTCTCTTCAATTGCTTTTAATAGTGTACTGTAGTTTTCCTTATAGAGGTCTTTTGCTTCCTTGGTTAAATTTATTTCCAGATATTTTATTTTTTTTATAGCTATTATAAATGGGATTGACTTCTTGATTTCTTCTTTAGCTAGTTCATTATTGGTGTATAGAAACACTACTGATTTTTGTGTTTGTTTTGTATCCTGCAACTTTACTGAATTTGTCTATTAGTTCTAAGGTTTTTTTTTTTTTTTTTTTTTGGTGGAGTCTTTAGGTTTTTCTCTATGTAAGAACATGTCATCTGCAAAGATGGACAGTTTGACTTCCTCATTTCCAGTTTGGAAGCCTTCTGTTTCTCTTGCCTGATTGCTCTGGCTAGGACTTCCAGTGCTATGTTGAATAGGAGTGGTGAAAGTGGGCATCTTTGTCTTGTTCCAATTCTTGAAAGACTTTTAGCTTTTCCTCATTCAGTATGTTAGCTGCAGGTTTGTCATATGTGGCTTTTATTATGTTGAGGTACATTCTTTTGTTGAGAGGTTTTTTGTTTTTTGTTTTTTGAGATGGAGTTTTGCACTTATTGCCCAGGCTGGAGTCCAATGGCACAATCTCAGCTCACCGCAACCTCTGCCTCCCAGATTCAAGTGATTCTCCTGCCTCAGTCTCCTGAGTAGCTGGGATTACAGGCATGCGCCACCACGCCTGGCTAATTTTTGTATTTTTAGTAGAGATGGGGTTTCTCCATGTTGGTCAGGCTGGTCTCGTACTCCCAATCTCAGGTGATCCGCCTGCCTCAGCCTCCCAAAGTGCTGGGATTATAGGCGTGAGCTGCTGCGCCTGGCCTGTTGAGAGTTTTTTTTATCATGACAGAATGTTGAATTTTATCAAATGCCTTTTCTGCATCTATTGAGATGATAGTATGATATTTGTGCTTCATTCTGTTGATGTGATGTATCACACTCATTGGTTTGCACATGTTGAGCCATTCTCATATCTCTGAGATAAATCCCACTTGATCAGGGTGTATTATGATCTAGTGGGACTTTTGATGTGTTGTTCAATTCAGTTTGCTAGTATTTTGTTAAGGATTTTTGTGTCTGTTCATCAGGGATATTGGCCTGTAGTTTTCTTTTTTGTTGTGTCCTTGTCTGGTTTTAGTATTAGGGTAATACTGTTCTCACAGAATGAGTTAGGAACAATTCTTCCCTCTTGAGGTTTTTGGAATAGTTTGAAAAGAATTGATGTTAATTCTTCTTTATAAGTTTGGTAGAATTTAGCAGGAAAGCCATCTGGTCTGCAGCTTTTCTCTTTTGGGAGCCTTTTTATTACTGATTCAATCTTGTTATGTGTTATTGGTCTATTCAGATTTTCTGGTTTTTTTGTTTGTTTGTTTGTTTGTTTTTTTCCTGGTTCAATCAACGTAGGTTGTATATGTCCAGGAATTTATTCATTTCCTTTAGGCTTTTCAGTTTGTTAGTGTATAGTTGTTCTGTTTTAATAGTCTCTGATGATCATTTATATTTCTGTGGTATCAGTTATAATGCCTCCTTTTTTTGTTTCCAATCTTGGTTAGTCTAGCTAGCCATTTATCAGTTTCATTTATCTTTTCTGTTGAGAGTGGGCTGTTGAAGTCCTTGACTACTATTGTGTTGGTGTCTCTCTCTTTAGATTGATAATATTTGCTTTAATCTGGATGCTCTAGTGTTGGGTACATATATATTTAGAATTATTATATCCTCTTTCTGAATTGATCCCTTTATCATTATGTAATGGCCTCCTTTGTCCTTTTTTACTGTTCTTGACTTAAAATCTCTTTGATCTAAGTATAGCTACTCCCCCTCACTTTTGGTTTCCATTTGTGTGGAGTATCTTTTTCCATTTTTTCACTTTTAGTCTGTATGTGTTTTTACAAGTGAAGTGAGGTTCTTGTAGGCAGCATATAGTTGGGCCATACTTTTTTATCCATTAAGCTATTATTTGTCTTTTAAGTGGATAATCTATTTACATTCAAGGTTATTATTATTGATATGTAAGGGCTTATTCCTGTCATTTTATTAGTTGAGTTCTGGTTGTTTTATATATCCTTTGTTCCTTTCTCTCATTGTTTATCATTGTGGTTTAGTGGTTTTCTGTAGTGGTAACATTTGAGTTTTTTCTCTCTCTCTCGTTTGTATGTCTGTTCTACCAGTGAGTTTTATACTTTTATGTGTTTTCACATGATGGTAGATACTGTCTTTTTGCTTCCAGATGTAGAACTTCCTTAAGCATTTTTTGGAGGGCTGGTCTAGCAGTAATGAATTCCTTCAGTTTTTACTTGTCTGAGAAGACTTTATTTCTCCTTCATTTTTGAAGGATAGCTTTTCTGGGAATAATATTCTTGGCTGACAGGTTTTTTTCTTTCAGCACTTTAAATATATCATTGCATTCTCTCCTGGCCTGTAATGATCCTGCTGAGAGATACACTGTTAGTCTAAAGGAAGCTTCCCTTCTATGTAACTTTAGGCCTTTCTCCTGTTTTTAGAATTTTATCTCTTTCTTTGCCTTTTGATAGTTTGAGTATAATGTGCCTTGGTGAAGACCTTTTGGGATTCAATCTATTTGCAGAATTTTGAGCTTCCTGTATCTGTATGTGTATATCTTTTGCAAGATTTGAGAAGTTTTTAGCTACTATGTTGTTAAATAGATTTTCTTTTCCTTTACCCATCCCTTCTCCCTCTACAACACCCAAAATGCAAATATTTGGCCAGTTTATGCTGTCCCAAAGTCAGTTAGGCTTTCTTCATTTTTTTTTTTTTATTCCTCCTCCATTTTATTGTCATTGTTTGTTTTGAGACAGGGTCTCACTCTGTCACCCAGGCTGGAGTGCAGTGGAGTGATCATAGCTTACTGCAGCCTCCACCTCCTGGGAGGCTCAAGGGATCCTCCTGCCTTAGTCTCTTGAGTAGCTGAAGTTCTGAAATTCTTTATTCTGCTAGATCTAGTCTGTATATTTTTTAAATTTTATTTCAATAGTTTTTGGGTCACAGGTGGTTTTTGGTTACATGGATGAGCTATTTAGTGGTGATTTCTGAGGTTTTAGTGCACTCCTCACCCAAGCAGTGTACACTGTACCCAAAATGTAGTCTTTTATTCCCTCAGCCCCACAACCTTACCCCAAAGAGTCCCTAAAGTCTATTATATCATTCTTATGCCTTTGCATCCTCATAGCTTAGCTCCCACTTATAAATGAGAACATACAATGCTTGGTTTTCTGTTCCTAGGTTACTTCACTTAGAATGATGGACTCCAACTCCATCCAGGTTGCTGCGAATGCTATTATTTTGTTCTTTTTTATGACTGAGTAGGATTCACATTTTCTTTATGCACTAGTTGGTTGATGGGCATTTGGGCTGGTTCCATATTTTTGCAGTTGCTAATTGTGCTGTTATAAACATGTGTGTGCATGTCTCTTTTTCATATAATGATTTATTTTCCTTGGGGTAGATATCTAGTGGTGGGATTGCTGGATCGAATGGTAGTCCTGCTTTTAGTTTTTTTTTTTTTTTTTTTTTTTTTGAGACGGAGTCTCGCTCTGTCACCCAGGCTGGAGTGCAGTGGTGCAGTCTCGGCTCACTGCAAGCTCCGCCTCCCAGGTGCACGCCATTCTCCTGCCTCAGCCTCCTGAGTAGCTGGGACTACAGGCGTGTGCCACCATGCCTGGCTAATTTTTGTATTTTTAGTAGAGACAGGGTTTCACCATATTGGCCAGGCTGGGCTCAAACTCCTGACCTCAGGTAATCTACCCTCCTCGAACTCCCAAAGTGCTGGGATTACAGGTGTGAGCCGCCGTGCCCGGCCCTGCTTTTAGTTTTTTAAGGAATCTCCATATTGTTTTCAATAGTGGTTGTACTAATTTACATTCCCACCAGCATTGTGAAAGTGTTCCCTTCTCAACACAGCCATGCCAACATCTATTGTTTTTTGACTTTTTAATTATGGCCATTCTTGCAGGAGTAAAGTGGTATCTCATTATGGTTTTAATTTGCATTTCTCTGATGATTAGTGATGTTAAGCATTTTTTTCATATGTTTGTTGGCTGTTTGTACATCTTATTTGAGAATTGTCTATCCATGTCCTTTGCCCACTTTTTGATGGGACTATTTGTTTTTTTCTTGCTGATTTGTTTGAGTTTCTTGTAGATTCTGGATATTAGTCCTTTGTCAGATACATAATTTGTGAATATTTTCTCCCACTCTGTGGGTTGTCTGTTTACTCTGCTGATTATTTCTTTTGCTCTACGGAAGCTTTTTAGTTTAATTAGGTCCCATTTATTTATTTTTGTCTTTGTTGCATTTGCTTTGGGGGTGTTAGTCATGAATTCTTTGCCTAAGCCAATGTTTAGAAGAGTTTGTCTGATGTTATCTTCTAGAATTTTTATGGTTTCAGGTCTTAGATTTAAGTCTTTGATCGATCTTGAGTCGATTTTTGTATAAGGTGAGAGATGAGGATCCAGTTTCATTCTTCTACATGTGGCTTGCCAATTAGGATGTCCTTTCCCCACTTTATGTTTTTGTTTGTTTTGTCAAAGATCAGTTGACTGTAAGTATTTGGCTTTATTTCTGAGTTCTCTGTTCTGTTCCATTGATCTGTGTGCCTATTTTTATACCAGTACCATGTTGTTTTGGTGACTGTGGCCTAACAGTATAGTTTGAAGTCAGATAATGTAAAGCCTCCAGATTTGTTCTTTTTCCTTAGTCTTGCTTTGGCTATGTGGGCTCTTTTTTGGTTTCATATGAATTTTAGGATTGTTTTTTCTAGTTCTGTGAAGAATTATGGTGGTATCTTGATGGGAATTGCGTTGAATTTGTAGATTGCGTCTGGCAGTATGGTCATTTTCACAATATTGATTCTACCCATCCATGAACATGGGATGTGTTTTCCATTTGTTTGTGTCATCTGTGATTTCTTTCAGCAGTGTTTTGTAGTTTTCCTTGTAGAGGGCCTTCACCTCCTTGGTTAAGTATATTCCTAAGTTTTTGTTTGTTTGTTTGTTTTTGCAGCTGTTGTAAAAGTGGTTGAGTTTTTAAATTTGATTTGATTCTCAGCTTGGTCATTGTTGGTGTGTAGCAGTGCTACTGATGTGTGTACACTGATTTTGTACTTTGATACTTTACCAAATTTATTTATCCAATCTAGGAGCTTTTTGGATGAGTCTTCAGGGTTTTCTTTTTTTTTCTTTTTTTTTTTTTTAAGATGGAGTCTCGCTCTGTCACCCCAGGCTGGAGTGCAGTGGCACGATCTCGGCTCACTGCAAGCTCCACCTCCCAGGTTCACACCATTCTCCTGCCTCAGCCTCCCAAGGAGCTGGGACTACAGGCGCCTGCCACCATGCCTGGCTAATTTTTTTTGTATATTTAGTAGAGACAGGGTTTCACCATGTTAGCCAGGATGGAGTCTTCAGGGTTTTCTAAGGTATACGATCATATCACTGGCAAACAGTGACAGTTTGGGTTCCTCTTTTGCAATATGGATTTTCTTCATTTCTTTCTCTTGTCTGATTGCTCTGGCTGAGTACTATGTTGAATAGAAGTGGTGAAAGTGGGCATCTTTGTCTTGTTCCAGTTCTCAACGGGAATGCTTTCAACTTTTCCCCATTCAACATGATGTTGGCTGTGGATTTGTCATATATGGTTTTTATTACTTCGAGGTAAGTCTCTTCTTTGCCTAGTTTGTTGAGGGTTTTTTTGTTTTTTTTTTTTTGAGATGGAGTCTCGCTCTGTCGCCCAGGCTGGAGTGCAGTGGTGTGATCTCGGCTCACTGCAAGCTCCACCTCCCAGGTTCACGCCATTCTCCTGCCTCAGCCTCCGGAAGAGCTGGGTCTACAGGCACCCGCCACCACGCCCAGCTAATTTTTTGTATTTTCAGTAGAGACAGGGTTTCACCGTGTTGGCCAGGATGGTCTCAATCTCCTGACCTCGTGATCCACCCACCTTGGCCTCCCAAAGTGCTGGGATTATAGGTGTGAGCCACTGCGCCCAGCCCGAGGGTTTTTAATCATAAAGAGATGCTGTTTTTTTTGTTTTTTTTTTTAAAGACAGAGCCTGACTCTCTTTCCCAGACTGGAATGCAGTGGTGCGATCTGGCTCACTGCAGCCTCCACTTTCCAGGTTCAAGCGATTCTCCTGCCTCAGCCTTCTGAGTAGCTGGGATTACAGGCATGCTAATTTTTGTATTTTTAGTAGAGATGGGGTTTCACCATATTGACCAGGCTGGTCTCAAATTCCTGACCTCAGGTGGTCTGCCTGTCTCAGCCTCCCAAAGTGCTGGGATTATAGGCATAAGCCACTCTGCCCAGCAGAGATGCTGGATTTTACCATATGCTTTTTCCATCTCTGTTGAGATGATCATATGGTTTTTGTTTTTAATTCTGTTTCTGTTATGTAGCATGTTTATTGACTTGCATATGTTAAACCATCCCTGCATCCCTAGTTTGAAACCCACTTGATCATGATGTATTATCTTTTTGACATGCTGTTGGATTTGGTTAGCTAGTATTTTATTGAGGATTTTTGCATCTATGTTCATCAGGATATTGGTCTGTAGTTTTCTTTTTTTGTTATGTCCTTTCCTAGTTTTGGTATTAGGGTAATACTGGCCTCATGGAATGATTTAGGGAGGATTTCCTCTTTTTCTGTCTTTTGGAATAATTTTAGTAGGATTGGTAATAATTCTTCTTTGAATGTCTGATAGAATTCAGCTGTGAATCCACCTGGTCCTGGACTTTTTTTTGTTGGCAATTTAAAAAATTGCTGATTCAGTCTCACTGCTTGTTATTGGTCTGTTCAGGGTTTCTATTTCTTCCTGATTTAATCTAGAAGGGTTATATATTTCCAGGAACTTATCTACCTCCTCTAGATTTTGTAGTTTGTGCACATAAAGGTGTTCATAGTAGCCTTGAATGACCTTTTGTATTTCTGTGGTATCAGTTACAATATCTCCAGTTTCTTTTTTTTTTCTTTCTTTCTTTTTTTTTTTTTTTTTTTTTTTTTTTTGAGACAGTCTTGCTGTGTCACCCAGGCTGGAGTGCAGTGGTGTGATCTTGGCTCACTGCAACCTCTGCCTCCCAAGTTCAAGCAATTCTCCTTCCTCAGCCTCCCAAGTGGCTGGGATTACAGGCGCCTGCCACCATGCCTGGCTGATTTTTGTATTTTTAGTAGAGAGAGGGTTTCACCATGTTGTCCAGGCTGGTCACAAACTCCTGACCTCAAGTGATATGCCTGCCTTGGCCTCCCAAAATGCTGGGATTGTGGGCATGAGCCACCGTGAATTGAGCTTATTTGGATCTTCTGTCTTCTTGGTTAATCTCACTAATGGTCTATCAATTTTGTTTATCTTTTCAAAGAACCAGCTTTTTGTTTCATTTATCTTTTGTATTTTTTGTTTTTTTGTTTGTTTCAATTTCATTTAATTCTGCTCTGATCTTTGTTACTTCTTCTCCTGGGTTTGGGTTTAGTTTGTTCTTGTTTCTCTATTTCTTTGTGATGTGACATTAAATTGTCTGTGCTATTTCAGGGTTTTTGATGTAGACATTTAACACTGTGAACTTTCCTCTTAGCACTGCTTTTGCTGTATCCCAGAGGTTTTGATAAGTTGTGTCACTATTATTCATTTCAAAGAATTTTTAAATTTACATATTGATTTCATTGTTAACCCAAAAATTATACAAGAGCAGATTATTTAATTTCCATGTATTTGTATAATTTTGAGAGTTCCTTTTATAGTTGATTTCCAGCTTTATTCCACTGTGGTCTGAGAAGATACTTGATAGGATTTTGATTTTCTTAAATTTATTGAGACTTATTTTGTGGCCCATCATATCACCTATCTTGGAGACTGTTCCATGTGCTGATGAGGAGAATGTATATTCTGCAGTTGTTGGGAAGAATGTTGTGTAAACACCTGTTAAGTTCATTTGTTCTAGGATATAGTTTAAGTTTGTTGTTTCTTTGTTGACTTTTTGTCTTGATCTTTCTAGTGCTGTCAGTGGAGTATTGAAGTCCCACACTATTATTGTGTTGTTGCCAGTCTCATTTCTTAGATCTAATAGTAATTGTTTTATAAATCTGGGAGCTCCAGTGTTAGTTGCATATAAATTTAGGATTATAGTATCCTTATGTTGGGCTAATCCTTTTATCATTGTATAACATCCTTCTTTGTCTTTTTTACTGTTGTTGCTTTAAAGTCTGTTTTGTCTGATATAAGAATAACTACTGCTCGCTTTTGGTTTCCATTTATATGGAATGTCTTTTTCCACCCCTTTACCTTAAATTTTTATGAGTCCTTATATGTTAGGTGAGTCTCTTGATGACAGCAGATACTTGGTGGTTTTTTATCCATTCTGTCATTCTGTATCTTTTAAGTGGAACATTTAGGCCATTTACATTCAACGTTAATATTGAAATGTTAGGTACTGTTCTATTCATCATGTTAGTTGTTACTTAGATACTTTGTTTTTTTTTCATTCTGTTGTTGTTTTTTAGGCCCTGTGAGATTTATGCTTTCAGGAGGTTCTATATAGGTGCATTTCAGAGCTTTTGTTTCAAGATTCAGAACTTCTTTCAGAACTTCTTTGAGACCTCAGGCTCCTGGGATAATGTTCCAGAGGGTAGTTAACTGCATCTGCTGCATAGAAGAGTTCCCAAAGGGAGTGGAGAGTAGTGGGCAACAATGAGCCTCACCCAGCTCTTTCACAGTTGGCGACGCTGGTCTCACTCCCACAGTGCTTCGCTTACTGGATTTAGTTCCAGGCAGTCTGCGCACGGAACTCAGACCTGCCCAAGGCCATAACCATGCCTTTCTCCATATGCCCATAAGGCCGGACGCCCAGCTCCTCTGCTCATGTCTGTAGCACACTTTACACTCACCCTGTGGGTTCTGTTCAGGAGAGCTCATCCCTACTCAAGATTATATCGCAAAATTCATCTGGGAGCTTCTTTCACCCTATGACCCCTCCCTGAACTCATTGACTGCTTCTTCGAGGGCCCCTATGAGATGCAGTCAGGAATGGCTTGCCTCTGTTCATGCTGGAGACTGGGAATGCCTACAAGGCACTTCATGCTGCTGCGTCTACTTTTGTATTTCACATAGACTAAATCCATTCCAGCTCTCGGTAGGGTTAAGGCTTTCTCCCATGGTCTGGATTTTCAGACTTGCAGGTGGGGATGTGTGCTCCGAGACAGGCTCATTCCCCTGCTTACACTCTGGGAACTTAGTTTTTCACCTGTCTCATGCAGTAGGCTCCAGCCTGCTGCTTCTTTCAGAGGGTTTGTGGATTCCTTCCATCTTCCTGTGGTGGTTCTTGGAAAAAAGAAAATTCACAGTGTGACTCTCTAGCCACTATTCTTTCCTTCCAAGTGGGAGAGGCATGCTAACACTGACTCTTATCTGTCATCTTGGAAAGTAAATAAATAAAAGATCTAATTCAAGCTTGTCTAACCTGTGATCCATGGGCCTTATGCAGCCTAGGACAGTTTGAATGTGGTCTAACACAAATTCGTAAACTTCTTTTCTTTTTTTTTTTTTTTTTTTTGTTTCTTTTAAGACAGAGTGAGACTCTGTTGCCCAGACTGGAGTGCAGTGGAGCGATCTTGGCGCACCGCAACCTCTGCCTCCCGGGTTCAAGTGATTCTCCTGCCTCAGCCTCCCAAGTAGCTGAGATTATAGGCATGCGCAACCATGCCTAGTTAATTTTTGTACTTTTAGTAGAGACATGGTTTCACCATGTTGTCCAGGCTAGTCTCAAACTCCTGACCTCAGGTGATCCACCCACCTCAGTCTCCCAAAGTGCTGGGATTACAGGCATGAGCCACCGCGCCCAGCTGTAAACTTTCTTAAAACATGATTTTTTTTTTTTTTTTTTTTTTTAGCTCATCAGCTGTCATTAGTGTTACTGTATTTTATGTGTGGCCCAAGACAATTCTTCCAGTGTGGCTTAGGGAAGCCAAAAGATTGGACACCCCGATCTAGTCTGTTTCTGAAGCTCTCAATTGTATTTTTTATTTCATTCATAGAACTCTTCAGATGCAGGATTTCTGTTTGATTTTTTAAAATGATATCTCTTTGTTAAATTTCTCATTCAGATCATGAATTGTTTTTCTTATGTCCTTGTGTTTGTCTGTGTTCTCTTGGATCTCACTGAGCTTCTTTAATATCAGTAGTTTGAATTATTTTTCAGGTATTTCATGTTTTCTTTTATTTTTTATATTTTATTTTTTCAGACAGGGTCCCAGGCTGGAGTGCAGTGGCACAGTCACAGCTCACTGCAGCCTTCCTGAGCTCAAGCAATTCTTCCACCTCCGCCTCCCAAGTAGCTGGGACGACAGGCATCTGCCACCAAACCCAGCTATTTTTGTGTTTTTTGTAAAGGCAAGGTTTTGCCGTGTTGCTAAGGCTGGCCCCAAACTCCTGGGTTCAGGCGATCCTCCTCCCTAATAATTTTTTGTAATTTTTGTGGAGAGGAGGTTTCGCCACGTTGCCCAGGCTGGTCTCGAACTCCAAGGTTCAGGTGATGCACACACCTTAGCCTCCCAAAATGCTAGGATTACAGGGGTGAGCCACAATGCCTGTCCTATAGATTTCTTTTTCACTGGAATCTTTTGCTGGAGAATTATCATAGTTGTTTTGGAAGTGTCATGTTTCCTTGCTTTTTCATGTTTCTTATGTCTTTAAGTTGATACCTGCACATTTGGTGAAACAGTTACTTCTTTCAGATTTTTAGATTGGCTTTCATAGGAAAAGACTTTTGCCTGTAGTTGTATCTATAATATTGATTGGGTAGGGTGCTTTAGCTTTGATTCCGGGTGTGTGCAATAGTATAGTCTCTGCATGATTTCTTTGGGTGTAATCAGTGTCAGTGATGTTTGTGAGTTCCTTAGTGACTTACGCTATGGTTGGTACTAGAGGGTATGATAGGTCTTTACTTGGGATGGGGACTCCAGGCAGGCCTGTTCTTGGGCCCCACTGGTGGTGATGGCATGCCAAATACATCCATTTTTGGTTCCCTTGGCAGTGTACACAGATACTAGTGTTATCAGGTCCAGGCAGACCAATTCTTGGGCCTCCAGGTGGCTTGCTCAGGTACCAGCAGTGACAGCAATGGGATGGGCAGGCAGGTGGTTTCATGAGTCCCTGGGCAGTATGCGTGGTGTTGGTGATGGCAGTAGCAGTGGCGGGTCAACCGTCAGGCCCCCAGGCAGCAAGCACAGGCGGCAGTGGTGGTGGCAATGGACTGGGCTGGCCAGTCCCCCCAGAGCACATTTAGGGGGGTCCTGGCGGTGATGGTGGTGGTGATGATAGGCTAGTCAGGCCCGTCCTCAAGCCCTGGGGAGGAGTGTGTGGATGCCGGCAGTAGTGGCCAGTGGGGTGAACCTCAGGACCTCAAACGGTATGCTCAGGCACCCGCAGTATGTTGGCTGGGCCTGTTATCAGGCCCCTTGATGGCTGAGTGTGTGCACCTGCCCACAGCAACAGACAGAATGAGGCTATTCCTGGGCCCCTAGATGGCGCTCTCAGACACTGGTGTGGTAGAGTGGTGCAGAGCAGGGTGGGCCTGATCTTAGCCTCCTGATGGTGTGCCTAAAGTTGTGGTGGGCAGGGCAGGGCTATCCCTTTGCCCTTGGTTAGTGTGCTCAGGTACCAGTGGCCCACAGGCTGGACCTGCTGTTAAGCTCCCTTATGGTGTGTGTGTGTGTGTGCCCCAGAAGCAGCTGGCGGGGCAGGTCAATCCCCAGGCCCTGGACAGTATGATTGGGCACTGGCGATGGTCTGTTGTCTTGGTGGTCTGTTGTCTTGATGTGCTCACACACCCACCATGACAGATAGGGCAGGGTGATTATCAGGATCCCAGGACAGCATCTGGGTGGGCCTGTCCCTAGGCACACTAAAGGCACATGCCAGTGCGCAGTAGCCTTGCTGCTGGGTGGCCCCAGGGAAATGGCTCTCAGGCTCTGAGGAGTGTGCGCTTCAGCTCCCTCTGTCCCACGGGCAGCCTCCCTGGTGCACTGCACTGCTGGTTCCTTGGGGTGTAGGACACTGTGTAGGCTAGAGTGCCGGGGACCTGGTTTTACTATTGGGTTCAGTCAGTGTTGTGCCACTGCAGCTCTCCAGGTGGATGCAGTGGGGATGTCAGCAAGGCTCCAGGGATGTGGAGATGTAGGGGCTTTTGGGCCCTAGGGAAGGATACAGTCTGGTGGGGGTTGAATTCTCAAAATGGTGCTATGCTGCGGTGTCTTGGGCCTTGGGGGTATGTGAGGTACCCAGTGCTATCTCTCTGGAATTAATGTTGTATGGACTCCAGACAGCTCCCTATACTAGTCTTAGGGCCTGCAGGGGCCAAGGGGCTCTCCTGTGGTTAGTACTGCAGGATTCTGCAGTAGAAATGTGGGATCTCTCATTTACATTTTCCCTGCTTCCCTTTCTTCCCATGCCTCAGTTGTTCCCTGTCACTGTTCTGCTGAATTCCACTGTTTTTTCTTGGATGCTGTCTTTGACATGTGATTATCTACCCACTGTTTAGTCCTTCTTTGTGGAGGAGGCAGGTGCCAGGTGCCCCTAGTCAGCCATCTTGAAGCCCCCTCCCCATCTCACTTTCTTGATGATGTTCTTTGAAGCACAGAAATTTTAAATTTGGCAAAATCTAATTTACCTATTTTTTTTTCCTTTGGTTGCTTTGGTTTTAGTTTTATATTTTAGAAACTGTTGTCTAATATAAAAGTATAAAGATTTATGCTTGCCTTTCTCCTAAGAGTTTTCCACCTTCATTCTTTTGTATGTATATATCCAGTTGTTTTAAGCACCATTTGTTGAAAATGCTTGAATGGTGTTGGAATCTGTGTCAGAAATCAGTTGACTGTAATATGTAGATTTCTTTCTGAACTCTCAATTCTGTTTCATTGATCTTTGTCTGTCCTTAGGCCACTACTACACTGTCTTGATTATTATAGCTTTGTAAGAAATTTTGAAATCAGAAAGTATGAGTCTTCCAACCTTGTTCTTCTTTTTCAAGGTTGTTTTGGCTCTTCTGATCCCTTACATTCAAATTCCATATGAATTTTGGGATCAGTCAGTCAATTTCTGTCAAGAAGTCAGCTGGGATTTTGGTAGGAATTGTGTTGAAATTGTAGATCACTTTGAGAGTAATGCTATCTTAATGTTAAGTTTTCTGATCCCTGAATAATGGATGGCTTTCCATCTGGAAATTGATTTATTTCAACAGTGTTTTCCAGCTTTTAGCACTTCTTTTGTGAAACTTATTCCTAAATACTTTATTCTTTTGATGCCCTTGTAAATTGAATTATTTTTAAATTTTATTTTTGGTTTCTTCTTTGCTACTGTGTAGAGATAGAATTAATTTTTGTATATTAATCTTGTATCTTACAACCATGTTAAACTCATTTATTAGTTCTAATAGTTGTTTAATGGATGTTTTAAAGGATTTTATATATAAAAGATCATGTCATCTGCAAACAGATATTTTACTTCTTTTCTTTCTAATCTGGATGCCTGACATTCATTGTTGATGAGCAGTGTCTTGAGAATCTGATTACCATTCCTTTATAGATATTGTTCTTTCTCTTCTGACTTTTCGGATTTTCTCTATATTCTTAATGCTCTGAAGTTTACCACAGTATAGCTAGATGTTTATTTTCTAGTATGGTGTTTGATATGTACATTTTCTGATTTATTTCACACTGAAAATAATATTATTGCTTTTTCTTGCTTGTATGAACAATACATGCACATTCCAAAAATGTTAGAAGCATAAGAAACAAGTTTAAATCACATGAAATCATATGCCCAGAGATAAACACTATTAGCATGTTTATGACCAGTAACCAGTATTATGATATATTGCATGATGCCTGTACATCCTCAGTCCATCAGTAGATCCTGCTGCCTTTACCTTGGAAACATATTTCAAATCCTGCTGCTTACCAACCAAATCTGTCTCTCCTGCTCTTATCCATGTCACCATATTCGCTTAGGACCACTATAATAGCTTTCTCACTGATTAATATGGTTTGGATGTTTTGTTCCTTCTAAATCTCATGGTTGAAATGGGACCTTCAATGTTGTAGATGGACCTAGTGCAAGGTGTCTGGGTCTTGGGGGCAGATCCCTCATCCGTGGCTTGGTGCCCTCCTTGTGGTAATGAGTGAGCTCTCCCTCTGAATTCACCTGAGAGCTGGTTGTTTTAAAGACTGTGGCACCTCCCCACATCCACATCCTTGCTCCATCTCTTGCCATGGATGTACCGTTCCTCCTTTGGCTTCCATCATGATTGAAAGCTCACTGAGGCCCTACCAGAAGCTGAGCAAATGTTGGTGCTATGCTTGTACAGCCTGCCGAACTGTGAGCCAATTAAACCTCTTTTCTTTATAAATTACCCAGTCTTACATATTCCTTTATAGTAATAAAACAGACTAACACCCTGGTCTCCTTCCATCCAGTTCTACTTTTCACACAGCATCCAAACAATTTCTTTTAAAGCATAATCAGATTATGTCACTCCCTGTTGAAGGCCCTCCAGTGGCTCCCCATTATAATTCCTTTGGTCTAAGAGGCCCTCAATGATATGGTCCCCGGCTGCTTCTCTGATCTCATCTCTGACAGTGTTCACTTACCATCTCACCCTCGCTTACTGTGCTCCACTAACACTAATATTCTTGCTATTTCAGGACATACCAAGAACACACTGGCCCTACGACTTTCATACTCGCAACTCCCTGTATTTGAAACTGCTCTCCGAAACTACCTGCCTGACTCTTGCACTTCATTCAGCTCTCTGTTCAAAGTGTCACTTCATCTGATACACCTTACAACCTGTGTCAGATTCTCTTATGACTCCCTTGATCATACTGTATCCCTTTAACCTGCTTTATTTTTCTCTGCCACTTACAGATATTATATAATTTCTCCTTATTTTCCTCTTCCCTCCCCACAGTATTGTAAGCTCCCTGTGAGCAAGAACTTTGGGATGCCCAGTTTTCCCTCTTTTTTCTTTTCTTTTCTTTTTTTTGAGACGGAGCCTTGCTCTGTCGCCCAGGCTGGAATGCAGTGGCACGCTCTCAGCTCACTGCAACCTCCACCTCCCAGGTTCAAGTGATTCTCCTGCCTCAGCCTCTAGACTAGCTGGGATTACAGGCACCCGCCATCACACCTGGCTAACTTTTGCATATTTAATAGAGACAAGGTTTCACCATATTGGCCAGGCTGGTTTCAAAGTCTTGAACTCGGGTGATCCTCCCACCTCGGCCTCCCAAAGTTCTGGGATTACAGGCATGAGCCACTGCGCCCAGCCCCTGACTCTTAAGATTATTTTCTGACATGGTACACTCAATAAATATTTATATTTTTGCAAACAATACATAATTTTATATAAATAGGATTGAATTACATATTACATTGTCCCTTTTAAAAACCAAAGTCGGCCGGATGCAGTGGCTCACACCTGTAAGCCCAGCACTTTGGGAAGCTGATCGCTTGAGCACAGGAGTTTGAGACCAGCTAGGGCAACATGGCAAAACCCCGTCTCTACAAAAAATACAAAAATTAGCCAAGCATGGTGGTGCATGCCTGTAGTTCCAGCTACTCGGGAAGCTGCAGAGGGAGGATCATTTGAACCCAGGAGGTCAAGGCTGCAGTGAGCTATGGTCCTGCCACTACACTCCAGCCTGAGTGACAGAGTGAGAACCTGTCTCAAAAAAACCCAACAAGGATAGCATTGTATTTTTACTTTTTGTTTTTGGTTTCTTCTCTCTCTTCCTGTCACCCCTTTAGATATCCAACATTAACCTGGTATGAATTCATTTATCCTTTTTTCTGTGCTTATATAATTGTTACAGGAATAAATATGCACTGGACATTTTGGGGGCATAATTTACAGAAAATTTATTCATGTGTTCAAATTATCTGCAATTTCCTAGCTTAAGTTTATGGTAGACATCCTCCATTCGACTGCCGTAGCTCTAACCTTATTGTTTTAAATTGTGGTTATCTTTTAAATTGTATTTCTTGTGCTTTTAATAAATGCAAGCTTAATGTAAAATTTTTAATAATTACATATAGATATATATGAAAATATATACATATTCATATTTATATGAAATATACCATAACTTCGCCTCCCAATCTGTCACATCCCACACATCTTCAAATAGGCAACTATTATCAGTTTGCTGTGTCTAATTTTAGATCTTTATCAATGCATTTGTATGCACATAGGTAGACACAGGGGTTTTTTTAGTTGTTTATATAAATATTACATAATGCATTTTATTCTGTCATTGTTTTTCTTTTTTCACTCAACATGTAACATAGTTCAACTCCATGGTTTTTATTGGTAATTTTTTTCTTGCTTATATACACAGAGACAATTTTATTTAAATAATATTATATATGTATTTTTGTTTTTTGTGAGAGATTATTTGGTTTTGCTAGATTCCTCTTTTCTCCCATCTTCCATTAACATCTCCATATATACTTTTATCTGAGGACTCCTATATTCTAGAAAATCTTTAACCTAATCCTTCAACTTTGCTTCTTTCTCATTTCTTCTATTTTTGTATTTTATGTTTTTATTTTATAACCTATTTTTCTTTTGCAATGTCTTATGATTTTCTTTAGCTATTGGAGCTGTGTAGCATTTTAAAGTCATTTTTATATTGCTCTATTTTCATTTCATCTGCAGTAAATTCCTCTCCCTGACATTGGTTATACTGGCTGTCTTTCATGGTTTTAATTTCTTCATGTATTTTAGACTTTTGATTTGCAAGTGCTTCTTGACTAGAATTTTTCATGTGCATATCTGTCTACCACTGCTTTCACTCCCTCTGTCTAGTAGGTTTGGTTGCCTTCCATCTGGCCCCAAACAATCCCAGGCTGGAGCCATATCTTAACACTGGCAACAGAGGGCCTCTGTCCCAGTGTGACACTGGAGATTGGTCCAGGCCCAGGCTTGGAGGCATTATCTGCTTCCCATCATTTCTGGTTTAGCTTTAAGTAAGCTTTGCTTCCTGGCAGCGGTTAGGAGCAGTTTTGTCTTTTGAGTTGGTTTTTTTTTTTTTTTTGAGACAGAATTTTACTCTTGTTGCCCAGGCTGGAATGTAATGGTTGCTCACTGCAACCTCTGCCTCCTGGGTTCAAGTGATTCTCCTGCCTCATCCTCCTGAGTAGCTGGGATTACAGGTGCCCACCACCACGCCCGGATAATTTTTGTATTTTTAGTAGAGGCGGGGTTTCACCATGTTGGCCAGGCTAGTCTCCAACTCCTGACCTCACGTGATCCACCCATCTCAGCCTCCTTAAGTGCTGGGATTACAGGTGTGAGCCACCGCGCCGGGCTGGTTAGTGGCAGTTTTTTTCAGCCACCTTTTCAGGGTGGGTAAACTCTGTCTCAGCCCTCGGTTTCAAACAGTGAAGCTGTCTCTTCGTTTCCTGTTCTTCTGGAGCACTTCGAACACCTTTTATCTTGCAGGAGGCCAATTCCTGGCTACTTCTGCTTACCGGTAGGCCTGCAGCTTTAGCCTGACTTGCAGCTTTTTCTCTTCTCCTTTTTTTCTGGTTCATTGAAATGTTTTATTTTGTATATGCTTTAGGATATGTCATTTTAATTTTCTATATTCACTGATGCTTTTGGACATAGGAAGGGAGTTTTATGCACTACTGAAATCAACTTGACTAGGAAGTCTTAGGATACTTTTAAAAATGCAAATCAGTTTTCAGTCCTCTGCTTAAAATCCTAAACTCTAGACTTTTAGCATTCCCTTAGGTGATCTGGCCCCTACCTACCTCTCCAGATTTATTTCAGGCACTTTCCTGTTTGCTGCCAGTCTTTCAGTTCTTTGAAAGTGCCTCACTGTCACACATGCATGCCCCCTTGCCCAAGTTTGACATCTTCCCAGTTCTCTTTTCTCATTTAAATGTTACCTCCTCAGAGAGATCTTACCTAACCACCCTCATTAAAATACTCTCCCCAGTTGTTTATCATGACACCTGTTTATTTCCTTAATAGTACTTGTTACAGCTTATAAGTATTTGTGTTTATTTTCTTGTTTATGCTCTCTCACAAAACTGAAAGCTCCATGAGTTTTTTAATATTATATTTACATTATATATAGCCAGCATATAGCAGCATGCCCAATAAATACATCATGAGTGACTGTTACTCATTGGTCCATTCAGTTGTATATATTGAATGGCTACAGTATGACAGAACTGTTCTCAATGTGGCAGATGTAATATTAGTGAGCAGCACAAAGTTCTTACTCTATAGAGTTTATATTTTAGTGGGAGAAGAAAAGTAATAAATATAAAAATAAATAAGTGACATCAGTGCTTTAGGGTGGTGTGTTTAGGTGATGGGGAAACACTTTTCTGAGGTAGTAACAGGAAGGAATTTATCTGGTGATGATCAAGAAAAAGAGCTGTCAAGCAGAGGGAAGAGCTAGAATAAAGTTCTTAAATCAAGAATGAGCTTGAGTATTCATGGAACAAAAGACCAGAGAGGCTGTAGTGAAGTGAGTAATAGAGGGAAGAAGCATTGCAAGACAATGTCAAAAACTTGGCTGAGGCCAGATAATAACGAGCGAGGGTCAGGAGTTTGAAAGTGTGCCTTAAGAGAGGTGCAACATGGTACTGAAGGAGGTGGTGAGGTGTAGGTGGGAAGGTGTGCTGCAGAGGATTTCATCTACTGAGCAAATGGGTTCAACACATCTCTATAAATTGTAGCAAAGGGTTATCTTTCAGAAAATCACAAATCACTGCTGTGTTTTTGGTTTCATTTTCACCAGGGATGCTGCTTTCTAATTCTTGGTTCTAATGGCTTAATTACCTCTTTAGAAACCAGTAGAAGCCACACATCTGATGCTGTGCGTGATTGCTTGTTTATATTCATAAAATACATTGGAAATAGAAAGGAAGTACTCACTTAGTGCTTTTTTTTTTTTTTGCTGAATTTCTGAATTTGGGCAGGCTTTTGGAAGTTCATGTTTCCTAGTTTAGTCAGTACAGTGACCTGAAAGCAAAACTAGGTTGATTACTCAATCTTTCATTTCCACTTTTTCATTTCCCTGTGTTTTAGAAAGCAAGTGACTAGGGAAGGCAGTGTTCTCAAGGATGCCTAACTTCCACATTTTTAAGAGCAAACTCTTTTTAAAAATATCCTTATAGCAATCTACTGATGAGCTGTCCACCAATAAGATGTGGTCTCATTTGACATTTACAACCTTTTATAATCCTGTTGTAATGAATAATTGCTTCCATATTGCCTTTTTTTAAAAGTTCTTTGAAATTAACTGAAGATCCCTTTTTTCCCTGTCCTTCGCTAAACATGTAGCGATGGCAAGGAGCTATTTTAAGTTTCTGTATGGTAAACTTAATGATACTTCCAGTTCTTTTGCTGACCCTACAGGCAGAGGACTCAGAGGCAGTTCCGCTTCTTTCCTAATAATGCTGTCTTGCTTAAGCCACTGTCACAATATTTACAGGTAGCCACTCACAAATAGTTACACTTTAAAAATTCATGTAAGTCTGAGTTTTGGAATTTGAAATACACTTCCCACTGGGAAAAAAATGTATAAATAAATAAATAAATATGTTTCTAGGCAACCCTTTACAGGCTTATTAAACCTTAATCTATAATGTAGCTGAAATACTATACATTTATGATGAAAAAATTAGGAAAATCATATTTCAGATGCATATTAGTTCCACTATATGACATTTAAGTAGGATTTTATATGGAATAGTTTGGCTCCTTTAACACCATTGTTGGTGGTGAGAAGGGTAAGTAGTGGTGTCACGAGGTTCTAGAGAGAAGACATTGAGAATGGTCCTCGAGAAAGCCCATCCCATCTCCTGTGTGGCATGGACCAGCCATCTGCATGTGAGACAGTCTTAAGTCACATACTTGTATATCAGGAGTATTGTATGATCTTACTAGTTGCAAAATGTGAAAAAATTCATTTAGAATAATCTTGAGTGAGGGAGTGAAAAGTATATATATTTTGAAATTTCCTAAGCAGATATTGTTGGAAAAATGCCTTTTTCATGCATTTACAGATAATATATTCATATATTTAGTGACCATTTTTAGTTGTGTTTTCCTTCTTTTGTCTTTAAAAAAAATGGTTTTATTAATTATTGGTGCTACTTAGTTTTAAATGTAAAGGACTTAATTCATTTAAAAAGAAAAAAAGGTACCATAAAGTTAATAGTTTAAACATTTAATTCTATAATTGTTCTAGAGTTTTAATGTTTTAGTTCTTTACCAGGCACAATTATTTCAAGAGATTTTCATTATGTTGAAGCTAACTTTTTACCATTAGTTAACTTATATTCTTATGAGGACAGTATAATTCCTGACAAAGCAGTATTTTGGAAAGTTATAGAATGTAGAAGAGTGTGTGCTTTGGATTCTAGGAGGGAGATGTGAGTTCTTATTCAAGTCTAGATACATTTCTCAGCTTCTGTTTCTTTACCTACAAAAGGAGGCTGATGAAACCCACTTGCCTCCCAGGGTTGCTAAAATTGCATAAGATTGATTGAGAATGTATGTCAGCCCATACTACTATAGGAATGGGCTGTCCATGGAACAGGTAGGGAAAGTTTTCATGCCATTGTGTTTTTCTTCCTTGTACCCTTCTTCCTTTTATAACTAAGTTTCTCAAATGAATAATCTATACTCAGTAGCTTCACTTTTAATCTTTCATTCTTGTAAAAAAAATCAATAGTATTTCATATTTGTATTTTTATGACTATGTAAGTGTTCTTCAATCTGAGTCAGGTAATTATTATTTTGTTCCTGAGTCAGATAATTATTACTACGAGTATATTCTTTCTTGAATAGCTTTCTACCCCTTTTGGAACAATAATTGCTTTATTATTATTTTTTTTCGTTTGAGGCAGTCTTGCTCTGTGACTCTGGCTGGAGTGCAGTGGCGCTATCTCGGCTCACTGCAACCTCTGCCTCTCAGGTTCAAGCCATCCTCCCACCTCAGCCTCCCTAGTAGCTGGGATTACAGGCGCCCGCCACCATGCCCGGCTAATTTTTTGTATTTTTAGTAGAGACAGGGTTTCACCATGTTAGCCAGGCTAGTCTCGAACTCCTGACCTCAGGTGATTTACCTGCCTCTGCCTCCCAAAGTGCTGGGATTACAGGTGTGGCTCACCATACCTGGCCTATTTTTCTGTTTGCTTTGTTTTCTGTTGTGTCTAACAGAACTGTAAAATTCATCTCAATATGGCAAACACTTAAGGTTATCTCTCAGATCCATTTTTAAACTTTATCTTTTCCTCGGAGATACTTCTCTGGGAACCTTCTGTCCTCCTATTCCAGTCTGGACTGGCTGCTGTCTAGGCCTGGTGCAAAATTTTCATCCTGCCTGTTCCTTTCATCATCGTCCTGGGAATTTCCCTTCCTTCTCTCATGTTTTAAATCGTGTTTCCTGGTTCCTGTTTTCTACTCTTTCTTGATTTATTCTCTTGTCTTTGATGTATCACATCCTCTACCACCCACCTCCTCCCAGCTCACCTAGCCCCAAATCCTCTATTAAGGCAACTTTCTTACATCACCTGTGAAGATTTCCCTCTCCCTTCGGTTCCCTTGTTAGATTGATCTCACCCTCCTTTGTGCCTCCATGGCACCCTCTATCATAGCCTTGGTCCATCATGACTACTGAACACCTACTGTACACGTTAGGCACTCTGTTCAACATTAGGGATTCTGAGATTAAAAGAATGTGTTTCCTGTTCCCAAGGGAGTTCTGGAAGCTAAATGAGAATGCCAGGGTTCTCACTGGGGTTAGTACTGCCCTCTAGTGGACCCTTTGAAAAAGTGAAAGAAAGTTTTTGGTTGCCATATTAATGGGAAAGTGTAGCTGGCACTTTGTAGTCAGGGGCCAGGCATACTAGATGTCTCATATGTCCAGCACAACTTTAGGATATCTCACTAGACATTCATTTGTTAAAATATGTTTATAATTATTCAGCCTAGGACCTAATTCCATTTTACACACAAACCCAAACTACTCTTAGCACTTTTTACATTGTCATTGCTTGTGCAACCGATAGAAAACAGCTGTTGTTCAGCAATGTGAGTTTAGAGACAAATTTCTTTTTAAGGTAGCATGAGATATTTTAAGAATTCTTTATATTGGTCATTGATGGCGCTTAGTCTCTAAGAATCCTAGTGAGAGGCTTCACAAATCAGTGAATATGGTTATCAGTGCTGTTAATTAAAAAATAAAGTGTAGGCTGGGCATAGTGGCTCACACCTGTAATCCCATCACTTTGGGAGGCTAAGGCAGGAAGACTGCTTGAGTCCAGGAGTTTGAGGCTGCAGTGAGCTATGATCGTGCCACTGCACTCCGGCCTGGGTGACAGAGTGAGATGCTTGAGCCCAGGAGTTTGAGGCTGCACTGAGCAGTGATCACATCACTGTACTCCAGCCTGGGTGACAGATCGAGACCCTGTCTCAAAAAAAAAAAAAAAAAAAAAAACACAATAAAACGCAAAATCCCTTAAGTGATGGATTATTTTGTAAAGTTTGTAATGTAAACAATATAATAACAATGAAGAAGAATATGATTTTACCTTACCCTATTCATAAAAGATAACTTTTCATATTAAATGTTAATAAATATTTTGTTCATTATTGTATGTGTGTGTGCACATATATTGCAGTATAACATATAATGCACAGCTTTATGAATTTATTTACATGCATACACCTACACACATGTAACTGCCACCATGATCTAGAAATAGAATATCTGCATAGTTGGAAAATATAGGATAAACTTATTTTTAAACAGTATATTGATTATATTTTTTTAATACTGTGCCTATTATGTTTTCATGTATACAATAAATACAATTCAGAGTGTCCAAAAAACCTGGAAGCATAAAGAAAACAGTGCGTTTATTGTATTTTTAAAAATATTCACAATTGGGGCCACTGCTTTAAATTTAGAAGTGTTTTACTTGGAAAAATATATTGAGGTTGAAGAAAAAGATATTGAACATATTATTTGAAAATGTAACTAGCACATATTTATCCTGTTCCCCAGCCTTATGGATACCCTGTATAACATTTCCAGTACCCCAAAATGTTTCCCATACCCCTTTTTAGTCATTATACCATTTCTATCAGGTATAACCACTATTCTGACTTACATCATCATAGATTTTTGTCTTTTCTTGAACTTCATGTAAATGGAATCATATAGTATGCATTCTTGTGTTACCTTCTTTAAATTGGTGTTATTCCTATGAGATTCATCCACGTTTTGAATGTAGCAGAAGTTCTTTGTTATTGTTGTGTAGTATTCCATTGTGTGTCTACAGACAATTTATCTCTTCTGTTGTTACTTGATTTGTTTCCAGATTTTGGCTATATGAATAAAGCTACTATGAACATTCTTATACCACATTTATACTCATCTCTCGTAGATATATATCTAGAAATAGAATTTTTGGGTCACATGTAGGCATATGTTTGGCTTTTATAGCTATTACTAAAAAGTTTTCTGAAGTGGTTATTTCAATTTATACTTCTAACAGCAGGTATGATAGTTACAGTTGTTCCATATCCCTAACAACAATTCATAGTGTTACTAGATTACATAATATTTATTCAATCAGTGATAAGTAAAAAGTTAACAGATATTATCATATCATTAAATATATTTGAAACTGCAAGAAGATGACATAAATCACATTAAAGTGAAGGAATTATAGTATTTATCTACAATCATATATTATTTGAAAGTAAGGCTGGTCACAGTGGCTCATACCTGTAATCCCAGCACTTTGGGAGGCCAAGGTGGAAGGATCACTTGGGGTTGGGAGTTCGAGACCAGCCTGACCAACACGGTGAAACCCCATCTCTACCAAAAAATGCAAAAATTAGCCAGGCCTGGTGGCACATGCCTGTAGTCCCAGCTACTCAGGAGGCTGAGATATGACAATCACTTGAACCAGGAGGCAGAGGTTGCAGTGAGCCGAGATCACACCACTGCACTCCAGCCTGGGTGACAGAGTGAGACCCTGTGTCAAAAAAAGAAAAAAGAAAATAAATCTCACTAGGAATTTTATTTCTACCTAAGATAAGCCTAAATTTATTCCTTTGAAAATATATTGCTCTCATGTTGTATTAGTTATCTATTGCTGCCTAACAAATTATCCCAAAGTTTAGCTGCTTAAAACAATAAATGTGTTATCTCTTACTGTTTCTGAGGGTCATTAATCTGATAGCAGCTTAGCTGGGTAGTTCTAGCATAGGGCTCTCACAAGGTTGTAGTCAAGATGTCATTTGGAGCTGCAGTTATCTTTCAGGGCTCACCTGGGACTGTGGGAAATCCACTTTCAAACTCACTCACATAGTTGTTGGCAGTACAGCCCTGGCTGGTGTGTTAGAGACTTTAGTTCCTTACAACGTGGGCCTCTCCATAAGCTTCTGTAACATGTCAACCTACTTCTTGCAGGACGAATGATCTGAAAGGCATAGGGAATGAATGAATAAATGAATACCCAAGACAGAAGTTGTCTTTTTTATAACCTAATCTTGGAAGTGATTTGCTATTACTTGAGCTGTTAGTTACTGGTCATGCAGGCTGACCTAGTACACTGTGGGAGAGGACTGCACAAGGAGGCATGAATACCCTGCACAAGGCAGAGATCACTGGGGGCCATCTTTTTTTTTTTTTTTTGCTCTGTCGCCCAGGCTGGAGTGCAGTGCGATCTCAGCTCACTGCAACCTCCGCTTCCTGGGTTCCAGTGATTCTTGTGCTTCAGCCTCCCTTGTAGCTGGGACTACAGGCACACACCTCCATGCCTGGCTAATTTTTGTGTTTTTAGTAGAGATGGAGTTTTGCCATGTTGGCCAGGCTGGTCTCGAACTTCTGGCTCAAGTGATCCACCCACCTCAGCCTCCCAAAGTGTTGGGATTACAGGCCTGGGCCACCGCACCTGGCCACAGGGGCCATCTTGAAGACTACCACACATATGGATGCTTATTTTTTGTTGTGGCAGTGGCAAAGTACACATAAAATTTACCATTTTAACCATTTTGAAGTGTATGATTCACTGGCAGCACATTCATAAAGTTGTGCAACTCATCTAAGCAGTTTCTTACCTTTGGCATGGAGCATCTTAGTTTATTTTTTCATTTTCAACCTATGTTTGTCTTTGGATCTAAAGTGAGTTATAGACAGAATAGAGTTGGAATCATGTCTTTCTTATCCGTTTGCCAACTTTTGTCTTTAATTGGAAAGTTTAATCCATTTACACTTACTGATAAGGAAGGACTTTTGCTATTTTGGTATTTGTTTTCTATACTTTTTTACTTCCACAATTCCTCCATTACTGTCTTCTTTTTTGTTTAATTGAGCTTTTTGAAGTGTGCCACTTTTATTATTTTCTGTATAGTTCTTAGGGGTTTTTTTTAGTGGTTTCCTTGGGGATTACAATTTGCATCTGAAATTTATAACAATGTAGTTTGAATTAATACCACTTTAGTTTTAATACTGTATAGAACTTCTTCTATACAGCTCTGTTTCTCCCCCTTTATGTTGTCATTGTCACAGATTTCATCTTTATACATTGTATATCCATTAATGTAGATTTATAATTGTTGTTTGATGCATTTGTCTTTTAAATTATGTAGAAAAAAAGGAGACGTCACAAACTAACTTTTATATTTACCTATGTAGTTACCTTTATTGGTATTCTTTATTTGTTCGTGTGGCTTCAAGGTGCTGTCTAGCATCCTTTCATTTCAGCCTGAAACACTGTTAGCAGTTTCGTAGTCCAGGTTTACTAATTATTAACTCCTTCAAGTTGTTTTGTTTTGTTTGTTTGTTTGTTTGTTTTTGAGATGGGGTCTTACTCTGTCATTCAGGCTAGAGTGTGGTGGTGCCATCATAGCTCACTGCAGCCTCAGCCTCCCTGGGCTCAGGTGATCCATCCACCTCAGTCTCCTGAGTAGCTGGGACTACAGGCATGTGCCACCAAGCCCAGCTGATTTTTTTGTATTTTTGGTAGGCATGGGGTTTCGCCATGTTGTCCAGGTTGGTCTCAAACTCCTGGGCTCAAGTGATCTGCCCACTTCAGCCTCCCAAAGTGCTGGGATTATAGGCATGAGCCACTGTGTCCAGACAATTCCCTCAGTTTTTATCTGGAAATGTCTTAATTTCACCTTCATTTTTGAAGGATATTTTTGGCAGATAGTGAATTCTTGGTGGACAGATTTTTTTAGAAGTCTTTCAGCACTTTAACCATATCCTCCCAGTGCTCTATTCTTCATGGTTTCTGATGAGACATTGGCTGTTAATCTGATTGAGGATGTCTTATATGTAATGAATCACTTCTCTCTTGTTGCTTTCAGGATTCTGTCTTTAGCTTTCAGCAGTTTGATTAGTATGTATCTTGATGTGGCTTTCCTTGAGTTTTTCTGCTTGGAGTTTGTTGAGCTTCTTGGATGTGTAAATGCTTGGAGTTTGTTGAGCTTCTTGGATGTGTAAATGCATGTATTATCAAATTTGGGAAGTTATTGGCCATTATCTCTTAAGATATTTTTTCTGCCCCTGTCTCTTCTCTTCCCCTTCTGAGACTCTTGTTATGCATATGCATATGCATATATATATATATATATATATATATATATATATATATATATAGTTTGTTTGTTTGTTTGTTTGTTTTGAGATGGAGTCTCACTCTGTTGTCCAGGCTGGAGTGCAGTGGCACAATCTTGGCTCACTGCAACCTCGGCCTCCCAGGTTCAAGCAATTCTCCTGCCTCAGCCTCCAGAGTAGGTGGGACTACAGTCATGCACCACCACGCCCAGCTAATTTTTGTATTTTTAGTAGAGACGGGGTTTCACCATGGCCAGGCTGGTCTCAAACTCCTGACTTCACGTGATCCGGCCGCCTTGGCCTTCCAGAGTGCTGGGATTACAGGCGTGAGCTATGGCACCTGGCCTTGTTATGCATATATTGATGGGCTTGATGGTACCCACAGATCTCTTAGACTTCATTTGGCCTACCTTCAAGTTCCTTAATTCTTCTGCCTGCCCAAATCTGCTGTTGAACACTCACCGTCTCCCCTCTGAGTTTTTCATTTCAGTTATTATACTTTTTAGCTCCAGAATTTTTTTTGTTCCTTTTTATAATTTCTGTCTGCCATTGGTATTCTCTGTTCGGTGACACACATTATTTAGGTTTTCTTTAGTTCTTTGAGCATATTAAGATAATTGATGGAAAGTCTTTATCTAGTCAGTCCAGTGTCTGAACCTCCTCAGTGACAGTTTGTTAATTTCCTTTTTTTCCTGTGAATGGACCATACTTTCTTGTATTTTCGCATGCCTCATAATTTTTTGTTGAAAACTGGACATTTCAAATATTTTAATATGGTAACTCTAGAAATGAGATTCTTCCATCTTCCCAGGATTTGTTGTTGCTGCTTGTGGTGAGTTGTTTGTTTGTTTAGTGACTTTTCTAAAGCTTTTTTGGAAATACCATGTTTTTTGTTGTTTGTAGTCACTGAAGTCTCCATTCCATTAGCTTAGTGGTCAGCTAGTGATTTGTCAGAGATTTCCTTAAATGCCTGGAGCAAAACAAAACATTAAACTCTGTAGGTGTATGTCGGGATATGCCTTCAGCTCTCAGCCAGGCAGTTCATAACGGCCTTTGCCTTCCCATCCTGCTTGTTTGGAGCTTTTCAGCAAGCAGTTTGTTTGCCCCAACTGACTTCCTGTGCTGCACGCTGCATCTGCTGCTTCGTTACCTTTCAATGTTTTTAACAGATAACCTCCAGGTAACCACTTTTCCACCCTGAGAGAGTTCCAAATCAGGTGAAATAAAGGCAAGCCTTTTGTGTTAGTCCTTCAGAGAGCCACTCACCAGGTCAAAACAATACAATTCTTTGAGAGCAGAGTCTACTCTGTTATCTCCAGCACCAGTAACCCACTCTGGGAATTACTGCCACCGAGCCAGGAAGAAGGGAATGGGGCAAGGGTAAATTAAAATATACCAAGTTCTCCTACCAGATTTCACTTGCTCTTGCCTTGATTAAACATTCTGTTGATTGGTGAAAACCCTTGACTGTTTTCCAGATTTTTGATAAAGTTGATTGTGACAGATTTTGCCAGCTTTTTTCTGTGGAGGGATGGGCCTTTGGAATCTCCTATGCCACCATTTTTGATGATGTCACTCCTATGCATGCTATTTTTAAGATAGGGTGATTATATTTAAAGATTGTATATACAAGGTATTTAAGAATTTGAATATACATGAAGTATATTTGGAGTATACATGGAACCTGTTAATGAACATGTGGAGGAAGGGAAAATTGAGCTAAAAAAAAAAAAACAAATAAGCCAGGCGCTGTGGTTCATGGCTGTAATCCCAGCACTTTGGGAGGCCAAGGCGGGCGGATCACAAGGTCAAGAGATCGAGGCCATTCTGGCTAACATGGTGAAACCCTGTCTCTACTAAAAATGCAAAAATTAGCTGGGCATGGTGGTGCATGCCTGTAGTCCCAGCTACTCAGGAGGCTGAGTCAGGAGAATCACTTGAACCTGGGAGGTAGAGGTTGCAATGAGCTGAGATCGCACCACTGCACTCGCTGCTGGCGACAGAGGGAGACTCCATCTCAAAAAAAAAGAAAAAAAAACCAAAGTAAACAAAAATCTTTGCAGCTAGAGCTACATTTAATCCGTAAATGTTTTAGATTCAGTTGAGACTTTCATACCTGTTTTTTCCTAAGGAATTACTTAGAGCATTTCCAACAATTTTAATTAAAAGGGATTTTAATTAAATGCAGTATTTAGTTATTGCAAAAGCAGCAAAGCTGATGGAAAATATGTAACAAAGTTTGAGAGTCCTTAGGACTAGAACCAAATGTTACTGAATTAACAGAAGCACACAAAATACAGGGATCTCATTTTTTTTTAAGCAAAAGTGGTTTAGGTATATTTGCTATTGTCAAACTAAATATTAAAAATTATATTTTTGTACCACAATGATAAGAAATTATGTGAAGATTTAAAATGTTTAAAGTATTCTAATTATAGTTTTGAATTGCCTGTTTTGAGTGTCAGTCAGATTAACTACAGAGGTCAGCCACATATCATCTCTATAGTTTCTTGTATTAATATTTTGCCTAATCCATCCTCTATTTCTCATCACCTTTCGACAGTATGATCTTTGAAGTCTTTTTAAGTTAATGTATATATTGACTATAGTCTAAATTATGGGAATTTTGAAGCAGGAGATATGTTTTCTGGTAGACTTTAATCTCGCACTTTTTCATGTTATAGGGGATAATTTTGACACTACACTTTTAATAAGGACATTTCATTTGTAGAAATAATGTACTTCCTAATTTTCACCAGTTCAACAGTCAGTACTTTGTCTTGGTATGTTATCTCTATTTCAGTTTTTCTTCCTCTTATATTCAAATAAATCTAATCTATTATTTCTTATGTAACATTAAGTTTTATTCAAGTTCCATCCATACTTCTGATCTTCTGCTTTCTGTATAGAATGGCTTCAAATGTAAATTTTCTTAAGTCCAAGCTTACTCATTATAAGTAGGCACAAGTCTGAGAGTACTTCATTATGTCTTTGGTATAGTTGGGTCTGAGCATATTTAAACATATTAAGTACATATTTTGATGAATATTATTTCTCCCTTTATTTCTATTTATATGTGTAGAAATATTACCTATGAATTTTGCTTTAGAATAGTAATGGGATCTTTACAAAATATGTTCTGAAGTGGGGGGTGGTGTTGGGTCGGGTCTGATAGGGTTGAGAAATTTATTCTACACAAATTAGTGCAATGATGTCTTCCAGGCATTGTACTAGAACTGTGCAGGACCCAGTGGGAGCCTGTAGCAAGGCAGGGTCCATTCAGGCAGGAGGTGAGGTATGTGTTAACCGAGATCATGGAAACATGAGACTACCCAGGAAAAGTTTGAGCTAATTTTGAAGAACTTCCTGTGTTTCTCTCTTCTAAACTGAATGTTCCTTGATGGGCAGGGACCATTTTTACTTATTATAAGTACCTACTGCTCAGCTGTATTAGTCTCTTCTCACACTGCTGTAAAGAAATATCTGAGACTGAGTAATTTATAAAGAAAAGAGGTTTAATTGGCTCACAGTTCTGCAGGCTGTACAGGAAGCATGATGCTGGCATCTGCTCAGCTTCTTGGGAGGCCTCAGGAAACTTATAGTCATGGCAGAAGGCAAAGGAAGAGCTAGCACCTCACATGGATGGAACAGGAAGAAGCTGTTTTGGGGGTGAGGTGCCACACACTTTCAAACAACCAGATCTCATGAGAACTCACTCACTATCATAACACAGTACCAAGGGGGAAATCGCCCCGTGATCCAATCACCTCCCACCAGGCCCCACCTCTAACATTGGGATTATGATTCGACATGAGATTGGGTGGGGACACAGATCCAAACCATATCATAAGCCTAGCCCATGGAAGATACATCATAAATGTTCGTTGAACAGATAGCTCCTACACAGGTGTGCAAGCTTGAAGAGAGAGTAAGTGTGGGCCTGGCTAGAATCCATATTGCCACAGGAGGACCAAAGGATGAATTATTTATTTGCCATACCACAGAGAAAATTTAACAATTGTTATGCCCCTGAGTACTTTTGGGGAATCTCCTCAAATCGTAAATAATAGAAATTATGATGTTATTTCAAGGCAAGGATCCTTAGGACCCTCCTGTGAACTTGTATAGGAAAAAAAATACATTTTTATTTTTACTAGCCTCAAACTGAAATTTAGCATTTCCTTCCATTTTGAATGTAGGTAATAGTGGTGATGTTATCAGTATCACTAACTTTCTTTCTGTTACTTAAAGCTACAGATATTTTCATTTTCTGTTGTTGTAGATACCTCACACTGTTGTTTACACTCATTGTTTTTATATTATGGTAATCACTATGCCATCAATTTTGTTATTTAAATCATCAATAAAGAAGCACATATATTACCTATCACAATTTTCTACTTACATTTTAAATTTTATTTTAAAACATTCTGAAATTTTAGAATAAGCAAAACTAATGTATAGTGATTAAAATCAGATAAATGGTTGCTTCTTATGGAGAAAATTGACTGGGAAAGGGGCACAAGAGAACTTTCTAGGGTGATGAAAATGTCCTGTGTCTTGGTATACACTTGTCAATTGAATGCTGAACTTACTGTCTATACATTTCACTATATATAAATTATACCTCAATTTAAAAAACAAGTACATTAAAAATTTTTCTGAGAAGGTGTTCATAGGTTTCACCAAATTGCCAAAGAAATTTCTGGTACAAAAAAAAAACCCTTTTCTGAGATTATCCTGTTGCCATTGTCTGTCTCCTTCTTTGAGTGCCCTCTTTCAGTAAGCTGTTTTTGTGGTTCATTTCCATTTTTCTAAATGTGTTCTCACTTTTTAAAGATGAACCTAAGACAAGTCAGAAAAGAAAAATAGCAGTTATGAAAGAAATATTTTGCCTGGGTTATTGACCAATCTCTTCTAGCCAGTGAAAATGTGGCCCTCCTAACATAGTTATGTACTTGCTTTGACTCTAAGAAATTTCTAGTGAGAACTACTCTTCTAAAAAGTAATTCATAGATGATTTCATAATGGAACAATTTTTTCTCATTTTCAGTTTTGTTTAGAGTTTTAGTAAGATTTTTATCTTTCTGTATCATTGAATATGCAAAGATTGGAAGAAGAAAATATGTATTAGGAAGTAAGGAAAGAGAAAGTAGTATTACTGATAATCTGTTCCAGATTAATTCCATCTAGGCATGATCTCAGTGCAGTGTGATTGTATATTCTAAGATCGAATATGTGTTACTTTTATAAAATTCAGAGTAATATAAAAAGTATTTATTTAAAAATGTGATGATAGTGCTCAAAGATGTTAAACATAGTGGTAGGTAATGTATAGAATGAACATTGAACTCTCTTTTAGGGGCACACAGTGTTATGACTACTCGTAATAGAATTTTGTGTACCATCTTATGCTTATAACTTTTAGTTTTACTCTATTATTATAATGGTCTCACTCTGAGAAAGATTAAGCTGAGGTGAATCGTCCTAGCAGATTTTTGTCCAGATAGCATCTATATGCCTTTCAGATAGTATCTATATGCCTTTTATGATTTGCTATTAGATAAAAACCTAAAATACTGTTTGGCAATGTTTTTGCAGCCCCTCATATGGAAAATTTGAAATGCAGAGGGGAAACAGTAGCAAAGGAGATCAGTGAAGCCATGAAGGTAAAAGCTATGTGCTAAAAAAATTATCAAATGAACAAAATGTATGGCTAGGTATTTGCATTCAACATTCATATGTGTTTTAGTCTGCTCTAACAGGAATTCTCAGCGGTCCTTTAAATAAATCTTTAATGAATTTATTAAGCAACAGTAACATTTAGAATAGCTGCCATTTATCAGGTACCTACTATGTGCCAGGTAATATACCTGTCTTCTTTAAAGGTTGATTATATTTTTGTGTTCTGGGTGTTAGCAGTTCACCGAACAGTTTTGGATAATAATACCAGCTAAAATGTATTGAATAATTGGTATGGGCACCATCCAACTGCTTTACATGTATTGTCTCATGTAATCCTTACATCCTATGAGACAGATACTGTTATTTCTTTTGTAGATGAGGAAGCTGAGGCACAGAGAGGCTAAGCAGGTTGCGCACATAAGTAACCTACAATCCAGCATTTAAAGCCTGGATCAGCAAGGGCACAGTGGCTTACACCTGTAATCCAAGCACTTTGGGAGGCCAAGGCAGTCAGATCACCTGAGGTCAGGAGTTCAAGACCAGCCTGGCCAACATGGTGAAAGTCCACGTCTACTAAAAATACAAAAATTAGCCAAGTGTGGTGGTGCGCGCCTGTAGTCCCAACTACTCGGGAGGCTGAGGCAGGTGAATTGCTTGAACCCAGGAGGTGGAGATTGCAGTGAGCTGAGATCACACCACTGCCCTCCAGCCTGGGCAACAAAGCAAGACTTCTCAAGAAAAAAAAAAAAAATTAGAGTACTGCATCCATCTTTGTCTGTTTGTGTTTCAACCTGAGATTAATGTTGAATATTACTGTTTGTTTGTTTGAAGTCCTTGCCTGCATTAATTGAACAAGGAGAGGGATTTTCCCAAGTTCTCAGGATGCAGCCTGTTATCCACCTCCAGAGGATTCACCAAGAAGTCTTTTCCAGTTGTCATAGGAAACCAGATGCTAAACCTGAGAACTTTATAACACAGATAGAAACCACACCAACAGAGACTGCTTCCAGGAAAACCTCTGACATGGTACTGAAAAGAAAGCAAACTAAAGACTGCCCCCAGAGAAAATGGTATCCATTGCGGCCAAAGAAAATTAATCTTGATACATGAGCTCTTTCTGTTTATTTTGGGAGTTGAAAATAGGCACCATCAACATTTAGATTACAGCCTAATTAATACCTAGATAAGACTTCATTTGAAATAAGAAATAACTCTTTTACTAGTGATTCATTTATACAGATATAGTATCTCTGTGCGGGGATATGATATAATATTGTATTTCCTTACTGTTTTATCTATTGTAAATAAAAAGCATTTTAAAAAGTATTGACACAAAGCCCATCAGTGGGCATTAAAAATATTAAAAGTGCAGACTTTTACTGTCCTTAAGTGCCATCAACTCTCAGCTCCCTTGTAGCTTTTGTGGGATTTAACAAGTAACAAATTCTGTTGTGTTTCCCTGGTATACATCTTTCTAGGAAAAAAAAAAAAAAGAGAGAGAGCTGTATAATGATTTTTCGTTTACATGCTGAAAAGTAATTATCAGTTCTGCACAGCAGCAGATGCAGGGTTTTTTTTTAAAGATGTAGTTTGATTTATCAAATTAATGTGCTGATGATAATACTGGCTTTGACTTTGTTACTCCATGTTCAGCTAATTTAGGTTTGTGAGATTAACTTTAGGATTTTTTGTTGTGTAAGACAATGATAACTATTATTTGTGCAACATTACTCTTTGAAATAAAAATTGGCATGTAGCCAATGTTTCCTGCCCACACTCACTTTTTTCTATAGACCATTAACATAATTTGACTTGGAACTAATGGTTTCTTTTTAGGGTTTCTTATTTATTTCTTTACAAATCATTCCAGTTCAAAATATATATCAGATTAATACACTGGCAAAGTGTCATTGTGTTATTGAACTATTTCACATTTGAAGATGTTTATATATCAGGTATATAATCACTGGGAGAAGTCTGAGAAAACGATATTGGCTTTACTTCTAACATTTAACTATAGTTTCTTATAGCTCTTATTGTGTGTCTTACATTATACAGTGTAGGCAGGGCCATCAAACTTACCAACTGTTTCCCCTTTTGATGACTCTGATACCTTCATTCATTTTTCAAAGGAATTTACTGATCATGAGGTTGGAAAATCTGTATTTCTCTTGCTTATTATGTATTAATAATCATAAATGTCTAGATTCACCAGAAGTCACCAGAAGGTCTGTCTCAGTGAAGAAAACTTATAAAGCCACTTTGTTGCATTTTGTGTTTCAGTGTTACAGTTTGAGATCTGTATATTTGTACACAGCTATGTGTTTTTCATTGAAATAATGTACAAAGACTGATCTTGATGCTGTGTATTTTTATGAGTTGTCTTAGGCATTCCTGAGCTCAGCTTCAGTTGGATGGTGGGTCAGCACCCTGCGTTTCTGAACATACTAGACTTCAGTTTAAAACTGTTTTGAGGCTGTATAATATGTTGCTGTTTTTACAGTGCTAATGTTTTTATAGTATTAAAATTCTGTATGATTTGTTTCACTTCAGAGGTCCCCAAACAAAAGAGTTATTGTTAATTCTATTAGATTATATAAGCTACTTGCATTTTGATTATATAAGAACATGGTCCCTCCCTTTTAAGAGAGGTATATTGTGCTACATAGAGTTTTTAAATGACATGATAGATTTGCTCTGAAGTATTCAGCAGAGAAACAAGGAATCGATTAAGGAAATGTGACAAAAATCCTGTTAATGTTGAATCTGTGTAATGACTATATTCTACTTTGTGTTGGAAATTTTTATAAGTTTTTAAAAAATGGTTATATTTTAAAGTCCCCAGGCAGACAGCTGAGATTTGAAATCCTCTTGAGAGCCCAAAGTTTTACTCCATAGTTATAGCAGAGTTTAAAATAGAAATACCACTGGGAAAGACAGTACGTATTAGCATTATTAACTAAGAAAAGCATGACCAATAGCAGTAATAATATTGAATAAGTATACTGTGTAAGAGGAGAAGTTGCATTTCTGCATAGGCCAAGAACTAGTAAGCTAAGGATTAAAAGCAAGAAAGTCTGTAGTTTTAAGGAATTGGAAAGGTTGAAGGAAAAAATTGAAAATCAAATCTTGCTCTATGATAAAAAGAGTCTGGATTGAATAGGGTCTTAAAATTATCTTTCAGAAAAGAAATAGCCAGGCGCGGTGGGCTCATGCCTGTAATCCCAGCACTTTGGGAGGCTGAAGTGGACAGATTACTTGAGCCCAGCCTGGGCAACATAGTGAAACTCCATTTCTACAAAAAATACAAAAATTAGCAGGGTGTGATGGCACACACCTGTAGTCCCAGCCACCCAGGAGGCTGAAATGAGAGGATCACTTGAGCCCTGGAGGCAGAAGTTGCAGTGAGCCAGGATGGCACCACTGTACTCCAGCCTGGGTGACAGAGTGAGACCCTGTTTCAAAATAATAATAAGAAGAACACAAGAAGGTTAAGTCTAGTCCCAAAGAAGAGAGAACACTGTCAAAGCTGGTTTCTGAAAACTGGTACCAAAATCTACATTTGTTTATTTAGGCTACTATAACAGAATACCACAGGCTGGGTGGCTTAAACAACAGATACTTACTTCTCACAGTTCTGGAGGCTAGAAGTCCATGAGAAGGTGCTGGCAAATGCAGTTTCTGGTGAGGGCTGTCTTCCCGACTTGTAGATGACCACCTCCTTACTATGTCCTCACATGGCCTTTCCTCAGTGCATGCATGTGGAGAGAGGGACAGAGTGCAAGCTCTCTGGTGTCTCTTCTTATAAGGACACCAATTGTATCAGATCAGAGCCCCACCCTTATGGCCTCATTTAACCTTAATTATTTCCTTAGAGGCCCCATCTCCAAATACAGCTATAGGCACATGGGAGTTAAGGCTTCATCATACAGATTTTAGGGGGACACAAACATTGAGTCCATAACACAAGCCCACAGAAAATCTTATCCTAGACCTCTTTCCCTGGCCCTTTATGGCTTGGGCTCCGTAGAGGACAAAGTGAATAAAACCAAATTTTTTATTGCTTCAAACAGTATGATTTCATCTTGTAAGATGTACTTTTTCTTTTCTAAGGCTGAATTTGTTTGATTTCTGGTGAACACCTATCTTCTCTATCCACCTTCATTCATTTATTCATCTGTTCAACACATACAGTTGGACACCTACTCGGATCAAAAGTCAGAGATCTTAAGAGCACAGCCTCTAAGCCAGATCATCTGAGTTCAGATTTCAGTTCTACCATTATTAGTTCAATGATATTGGACAAGTTACTTAACCTGTCTATGATCAAAAGTCAGAGATCTTAAAGAGCATAGTCTCTGAGCCAGATCATCTGGGTTCAGATTGCAGTTCTACCATTATTAGTTCAGTGACATTGGGCAAGTTACATAACCTGTCTATGCTGCAGTTTTCTCATGTGCAAAATGGGGATAATAATTATGCCTACCTCATAGCGTTATTCTGAGAAGTAAATGAGTTCATAATGTGAAGGCCTTAGACTAATAACTGGTGCATATGAGTACTCTATGATCACTGTTATTACTTCTTTTGATAAAGGAAATGAAAACACTCAGGACAAGTGTTGCCTTCAGGAAGGTCATATTCCAGTGAAGAGGATGAGTGTGCAAACAATGATAATGCCATGCAGCAAATGGTATGATAGATGTATGTGTGGAACTTAGGGGAGTAGTCATGGAAGTCTTTGTAGAAGAGGTGGCATTTGAGCAGTCTTGAATGTTTTAGGCAAATAATCAGGGAAGGAATACAGGAATAAAGAACAAATTACTGTTATAACAATGTGGATCAATATCAAAGATACTATATTGAATAAAAGAAGCAAAGCCAGGCACAAGAGAATACATCCTGTGTATGGAATCACAGAATGGGCAAAACTAAGCCATGGTGGTTCCCTCTGGGGAGAGGGGAGATATTAACTGGGAATGGCACGGGAAACATTTTTGGGTGAGCAAAATGTTCTGTATCTTGATCTGAGTGGTGCTCACATGGCTGTATATGTATGTAAAATTTTGTTGAACTATACACTTAAAATTTCTGCACTTTATTTAAGTTTTATATTTTAAAAATGCACAAAACTGATTCACCAAATATTTGAGGAGCGTCTCCAGCATCAAAGACAGACCCAAAAACTGTAAGTCCCTTAATGGCAGGAATCTTTGTTCCATCCACCTGGAATAATTGCTGGCACATGATGGGCCCTCGATGCATAGTGGTTAACTGAGTGAATTAAAACAAAAACCAAAGAGAATAAAGGACCTCAAAGAAAACAGATACATACAAAGCAAAATCCCAGAATGATGACTGTACTCCCAGAAAGAAGAGAAAATCATACATTTTTTGGAAAATCGGAATGCTATTAAATAATGTTCAGTAAATAAGAAAAAGTTTTTGAAAATTAAAAATATGAAAGTTGAAATAAAAATTCAGTGGGAGGGCTGGGAGATAAAATGAAATTTTCCCAAAAATAAAACAGAAAGATTAAGAAATGGCAAATTAGAAAAGTAAGAATAAAGAGAATAAGTTCATAAAGTTCAAAGTCTAATCGATACCCATTCCAGAGATAGCATGCAGAAAAAGCAGCAGAGTCAAAATTATCAAAGAGATAATGCAGTTACCATATGGCCCAGCAATTTTACTCCACGTTCTAAACCTAAGAGAATTGAAAACATGCTCACACAATAACTTACACACAAATGTTTGTAGCAGCAGGTTGAACTTTCATGAACTGATGAATGGATAAATAAAATGTGGACTATCCACTCAATAGAATATTATTTGGCAATAAGAAGAAATGAGGTACTGGTAAATGCCACAGTGTAGATGAACCTTAAAACATGCCAAGTGAAAGAAGCCTCTCACAAAAGACTGCTGAATTTTGTAGACTCCATGTAAATGAACTGTCCAGAACAGGCAAATCTACAGAAACAAAAAATAGATCTGTCACTGCCTAAGGCTGGAAAGATGGAGAGGGTGGAAGGAATAGGAAGTGACTGCTAATGGGTATGGGATTTTTTTTTTTTTTTTTTTGTGAAACAAGGTCTTGCTGTGTTGCCCAAGCTGGAGTACAGTGGTGCTATCTTGGCTTACTGCAACCTCTGCCCCCGCAACTCAAGCCATCCTCCCACCTTAGCCTCCCAAGTAGGTGGGACTATAGGCATGCACCATCATGCCCAGCTAATTTTTGTATTTTTTGTAGAGACGGAGTTTCGCTATGTGGCTGGTCTCAAACTCGTGAGCTCAAGCGATCCGCCCACCTCTGCCTCCCAAAGTGCTGGATTACAGGCGTGAGCCACTGCGCCTGGCCTGGGATGTCTTTTGAGGGTGATGAAAACCCTCTAAATTTGATTATGGTGATTCACGACTGCTTGTTGAATATACTGAAAACCATTGAACAATACAGTTTAAAAGGGTGAGTGAGATGGTAAAGTATATCTCAATTTAAAAAGAGAATAAAGAAATAGAAATAACACAAGAAACATTCCCAGACCTGAGGAATACCAAGAGGAATTGGAATGGCATCAGATTACTAAACAACAATCCTAAAATCTAGAAGCATCTGGAGAAATATTCTCAGCATAAATGATATACAACCTAGGCTTTTATACACAGTCAAACTAATAATCAAGTGCATGATTAGCTAAAAGATATCTCAGATATGCAAAGCGTCAAAAAAAATTACCTCCAAGGCATCCCGTTTGGGGGTTCTACCAGGGGCTGTGCTCTATTCCAAAGGGTAAACCAAAAAAGCAGCAGCCATGGGATCTGGGAAACTAAGGCTCCCAAAACACAGCACACTCGAGTCTACAGGCTACTAACTAATCAGCAGATTTGGAGACTAGGCAGACCAGGTTGGAATAAGACTATGTAGGCCGGGTGCGGTGGCTCACACCTGTAATCCCAGCACCTTGGGAGGCCGAGACAGGCAGATCACCTGAGGCTGGGAATTGGAGACCAGCCTGACCAACAACTAAAAATACAAAATTAGCTGGGCGTGGTGGCGCATGCCTGTAATCCCAGCTACTCAGGAGGCTGAGGCTGGAGAATCGCTTGAACCCAGGAGGCAGAGGTTGCAGTGAGCCAAGATCACGCCATCGCACTCCAGCCTGGGCAACAAGAACGAAACTTCATCTCAAAAAAAAAAAAAGGACTATGTAGGACTCCAAAAGAGATATTTTCAGAAAAAAATAAAAGTGACAACACGAGTGATAATGTTAACTATGCAGAAAATTGTATAAAGGAGATGTTTTGTAATATGATTAAGATGTTCAAAGAAACAAAAAATAAGGCAGTTATTCACTACAGTAGAGGCAGAAAGCTGTACAAAAAAAGAAATGTAATCATGGTTACAAATTAGTTCTCCAGTGAACAATATTTATATAGCCATAATAATAAAAACCCTGAATCTGAATTCAGTAAAAAAAAAAAAAAAAAATTGGGACAGTTACACTGGGAGGCTAAAGGATGGGAATTAGCAATTAGTACAGCACAGGCACTGAACAGTTAGATGGACATTGGTTAAAGCAGTAAGGTGGGGTGTGGAGGCCCTTATAGCTGCTGGGTCCTGGGGCAGGGTAGGGTGTCCCAGGACATGGAGCTGGAGCAGCCAGAGTGGCAGGGATAGTGAGGAGGCTTCTGTGCCAACCAGTACAATCCATATGTTTGTAACAGTGTGACTGTCTGAACACCAGCTTTGACATGGCAGTGGGGAGTGAAATCTTCACCCACCACAACTGGAAGTCAGTGGATGTCTAAAAAGCTGATTCAAGATCATACAATATGGATATAATTTAGTGCAGCAGAATAAAGAGCTGACGAAGTGGGAAGTATTAACTCTGTGGATGAACTTAGGTGGGGGAACTGGGCCAGGGACTGATAATTTTTGATAGAAGCCTCATAGATTTGATTTTTAAAATTAAATGCATATAGTAATTAAGGGAAAATAAATTTGGTTTAAGAGACAAATCATCCCCTAGAACCTTTCTCGGGGTTTCAGTTTTTCAGGGTTTCAGAAGCTTTCTCAGGGTTTCAAAACAGGCGTGTGCCACCATGCCCGGCTAGTTTATTTGTTTTAGAGATGGGGTCTCGCCATATTGCCCCGGCTGGTCTTGAATTCCTGGGCTCAAGCCATCCTCCTGCCTCAGCTTCCCAAAGTGCTGGGATTACAGGAATGAGCCACTGCACCTGGCCTATCACAGTATATTTCAGATAAGACTTACTATTCTCTGTTTTTGGCTGATAATTCTAGTTTTGGTTTCTTCAGGTTTTTTTTTTTTTCTCCCCTCTGACCATTTGTTTTGCAAATAGATTATATTATGAAAGTCTCTGAAGAAAAAAATATCTCTCTAGAGAACCACTGAAGGGGGTTCTTGGGGATTTTATATGAAAGGATTTGAGAAAATTAATGTTATATTCATTTGAAGCTTCAGGGGTAAAGAATCCCTTGTAATTCGTTGCTGTGTCTCTACATTGCTCATACTTTGCCCATGGGCTGTAAACTAATATTCGTTGAATGAATGAGTTCATATTGCAAATTTCTAACTTGTCGGTTTCCCTGGATCACAATCTCACACATTAATGGCTTGTGGCATTTATATTCATTATTAATTGAACTTAGAAGGTGAGTGTGGGGAGGGGAGAGGTAAAAAACTGAGGACAGATCACTGGGAAACTGACCTGAATTAGGACTCCAGAGTCTCCTGTCTACTAGAACTACGTCTACTAGAACTAAGTCTAATTCCCATATCCCTGCAGGACATAAGAGCAGAGGATGGCATTGACATCCCTCAGTGACATCACTGTGCTAGCAGGTATAGTTGCCTTCTGATCACCTTTTCCTTTGGTCACATCCCCTGACTTCTGGGTGGCCTGGGATAGCTAGAGAAGAAAATTCAACTTCTCCCTGCAGGTCTTCTGCTCCAGCTGACTCCTGTGCCTGTGTAAAAGATTGGGCATTTCTATCATCACCTTGACTAGCCTTACTCAGAGAATGGCTCCAGTGCCTTTGGGCTCATACCTAGTTGCAGATTTTAAGACCTCCCTTGGTGCCCATTCATGTAGCTCTGTGGCCCACATCTTCTACAATGATGTCATTGGAGTTCTTTTGTCCATTTCTGCCCCTGATGCCACCTTGATGGGAATGCCACCCTCCACACAACTCTTCACCAGTCCATAAATACCTGAGACTTGGCGCATTTCTTTTTTTTTTTTTTTTTTTTTTTTTTTTGAGACTGTCACCCAGGCTGGAGTGTAGTGGAGCGATCTCAACTCACTGCAACCTCCACCTCCCAGGTTCAAGAGGTTCTCATGCCTTAGCCTCCCGAGTAGCTGGGATTACAGGCGCGTGCTACCATGCTGGGCTAATATTTGCATTTTTATAGAGATGAGGTTTTGCCATGTTGGTCAGGCTGGTCTCGAACTCC